>NC_000013.11:72044469-72195984 GCF_000001405.40 Homo sapiens
ATTCTCAATGCTTTAAATGGATTAGTTCTAGTTCTCAGAGTAATTCTTTAAGGTAAGCACATGTTTAGTTTGATGCAATTTCTGAGACATCCTAATGACTATAATCCAACAGATAGTTGGATTTTTAAGTAGGAGATTTGGGAATGGGATCAGAATTGAAGATGCAGAACTGGGTATGGTGGTAGTTAAAACCAAGGGAGATGATATAATAGCCTAAATGTACATGTCAAATAAAGAAAATAGCCAATAGCAACCAACATGATATAATGAGAGGACCATGGGATTTGGTGCCAGATGGATGTTTTTTTGAATCCCATTGAAGTCTTTGTTTCTGCCTATTTAACCTATTAAGAGTCTACTTGAAAAAACAGCCTTCGAAAACTATTTTCTAGATTTAACCAAATGATCTTGCCTGATTCCTCCCCTATTATGGTTTACTGGACTAAGGATAAAAACCTGGCTTGGGCAACTTTATCTAAAAGTTGATCTGAGCAAATCGGATATTCTCTGGAGCACTCAGACTAAGTGACCCAGAAATTGTGATCCTCAGCTGATGCCAACCTCTCCCGGGTGAATGGCAGTGAGTTACCTGAGACAGGAATGTAAGATGAAAGAATAAATTTGGTAATGATGAAGTGGTGAGCTTAGTTTTTGAAACAATAGAAATAAGTACTCCCTTTTATGGAGTACCTACTTTGTTCCAGACAATGTTCTCAATGCTGTAAATGAATTGATCTTAATTCATTTATAAACCCATTTATAAATTCATGTATAAATCTAACTGCATTTATAAACAGACCATTTTGTAATGACTCCAAACCAGAATTTGGTTATTTACACATGTGGATTGTTGTATGTGAAATAACAGAAAGTCATCTGAGTTATCCAGAAATTTTCCTTTGATAAACTACTTAAGCTGATGACTGTAAGAACAGCAGATAAAAGAGTAAACATAATGGGGCCGAGGTGGGATGCCAAGAAAAGTGATCTTTTGTATAAAATGAAAATCGAGTGGGAAAAGGCTGGCAGCACAGAGGGAATATGAGAAGCTGGCAGATACGAAAGGGCGCTAGACTTTCCCGAGGACAGGGTCCAACAACTGAAGAGACTGCCCGGGTTGTGACTATCATATAGCCCCCAATTGACTGGGATAACATCCCTGATCAGGTATCCCAAAATGTATTAACTCTGGAGACTACTCTCTCCTTGGCCTTCGCTCTATTTTGTGGCTCATTTGTCTAATCACCCCAGAAGCATGCTCTGACATAGCAAATACAGGGAAGGGGATTCAAGGGGAGGCACCTTCATTGCTTCAGCCAAGAATCAGAAGAAAGGCTCATAAGCCCACTTTCTCCCTCAATATTCTAAGCTCAGGAAATGTGTTGTACAGTTTTCTTAGGCATATGCAGAATAGTGTGGCCTCATGCATTAAAACATGCTCATTCCATTAGCTGGGTGCATTGAAAACATTATTCTTTTGTGATATTCCCAAGCAGTCAATCACCTTTCTAGGTCAATCTGCTTTCCTTCAGTCATCAGTAATACATTTTCAGTTTCTTAAATTAAACATCTTTTAAGAAATAACCAACTGATACTTCTCATTTTTCAAAAGATGATCAAAATGTTTAATATTTTCTTTACATCCCCCAATTTTTAAAAATTATACAATAGTTTTAGCTCCAGAAAACTTGTTTTTGGAATAGGGCAGAAAATTACACTCTATAATTTTATGTGTGAGTGTATCATTAATTTTCAGAATTTATGAAGCATCTTTACCCAGTTAGCAAGAGTTCATTGCCTGCATACTACAGGCTACGTTTTTCAAGGCCTACTCCTGAAATTTTCAGTCTTTTCTTGTGGATAATAAATGATAAGTGATATAGTTTTTGTTAGGAGGTGCTAAAGGGTTTCAATATAAACTCTACGTGCAAGACAATCTTAAAATGTGTCATCTAAGAAATCTTCAAAATTGGAATATTAAGACAGATAGTATATAGCGCTTCAGAGTGAGTGCTAATACCTTCCTTCACAAGGTTTTGTTATTCCATTTGTGAGATTGGACAATGACTGATGGAACTGGTGAGAAAAGAGCTCTTAATAACCCTGGGAGTTCAGCTCTTTTTAAAATTCTAACTGACGTGCATATAGTGAAAAACCTTATTGTAACATTTAGTGTGCATATGTGTGAGTGTATGTGTGATTCATGAAGGGTAAGGAAATCTGAAGCTATAAGCAAGCCTTTGTTATTTTGGTTTGCTTATGTGTTTGTTGCTTTAAAATGAGCTGGCATCTATTTAGTATACAAATGTTGAAGACGGATTGATTCAACAAATATTGCCAATGTCCTGCAAAGTAGCATTTGAAATACAGAATCTGTTTTGTTCCAGGACAGAATCTATATTCAGTTATTTACCTTTGTGCTCAAGACTAGATTGCCATTGCTCCTTGCTTTGAGTTTTCATTTAGTCAAAATTACTACTCTTTTACCCAGAAGGTGGTATTCTGGAATTTAAGATATTTATGCCTGCTTGGTAAAATCTTAAAATTGTTAAATAAAAGATGTATTTGCAAAAGATTGGGATCAGATGAGGTCATACAATCCACAGAATCTTAAAAAGGTGACAATTTTAGAAACCCAAGGTTATCTTCTTGGCCTAAAACAATATTACCTGTATTTTCTACTGAGGCATGAAATTCTAAAGCAAGATATTTGTTCTTCAGCTTAAGCCTTTTTGTTTTTTTGCAGATAAAATGCACATTTCTTAAGAGGTATATTCTCCCCCACGTACTTTAGCTTAAATAAACCTGAGGAACTATCTTCAGAGTACACTTTAATAGACACTGATCTACCACATCTGAGGATTACTAAGGTGTGTATGTAGATGATAACACTAATTGTGGGAATGGGGATGGGTCAGAATAGAGCCAACACTTAGTATTCTAGAGATATGGAGAAGATATGGCTGACCTGCTTTCATTCATTCATTCTAAAAATATTTATTGAAAAATATATTTATTGAAAGCCTACTATGTGACAGGCATTATGCTAAGCTCTTGGGATACAAAAATGTCTTTCCTGTTGGCATTACAGACCACATTGTCAAGATCTATGTTTCCTGAGGCTGCTGTAACAAATCATCACAAACTTAGTGACTTAAAACTACAGGAATGTATTCTCTCACAGTTCTGGGGGCCAGAAAACAGAAATCAAAGCGTCAGCAAGGCCTTGTTCCTCTGAAGTTCCTAGGACGGATTCTTCTTGTCTTTCAGTGTCTGGTAAGCCCCCGGCATTCCTTGGTTTGTGGTAGCAGAAATTCAATCTCTGCTTCTGTTTATATAAGACCTTCTTTCCTTTGTATCTGTGTCTTCTCTTCTTTTGAGGACACCAGTCACTGGATATAAGACCCACCCTAAATCCACGATGAGGGCATCTTGAGATTCTTACTTAATTATATCTACAAAGGCCCTCTTTCCAAATACAATCACATTCTGAGATTCTGGGTGGAGATATATTTTGGGAAGGCACAACCCTACATCAAGGTAACAATACAAAAAGCACTCCAGCAGTTTTAACACACGGTTATGCTAGGAAGTTATATGGAACACATAAAAAGGACAAAGAGGAGAAGAAAGAGTATTTTCAGCAGAGAATATTTTGAAAGATCCAAAGCAAACAATATGTAATGTTTCCCAAGAATGTCAGTGTAGTAGGAACCCATGCGTGTATGGGAGATGTGAGAATTAGAATGGCAGAAAGTGGAGCAGGGGACGTAAAGAGGGGGCCAGTTCATGAAGTTGTGAGGACTTTTTTCTTTCTGTAATAAGTAGGCAGCAGTTGCAGTGGTTTAGGTGGGATATCATAGTTCCATTTACATTTATGTTTCAGGATGGTCACTCGGGCTATGTACAGAGTGGGAGAAAGGGAAGTAAGATCAGAAACAGTAAGAAGGAAGATATCACATCTTATAGTAGTTCCCTGTTCAGCATATAAATCTTCCATTGAAATGCTGCACCCAGACCTGGTCAAGGATTGGGCACATGGCTCAAATCCAGCCAATTATATACTCTATTCATGGAGTTTTACCCTGGAGATAAATGACAAAAAACTGCAAAATTTTGATGTTCACTCAAATAAACAGAGGCATTATTCATTCCTGCAATCTCAATTCCTGTTCCTATTCTTCTTGAGCCAAATCATCCACCTGTCCCATGCTTCTGAGAGCTGCCTTGGATCTTCGCCATAAACACATAGTCTTTGCTTAAGGAAGTTGAAGTCATTTCTCTTGACACGAAGTGAAACATCCCCATTTAGCCAAAGGATGACAGTGAGATAAACTAGGGTGGGAGACTGAAGAAATGTAGGTTCATTGGAGCAATACTTAGGAAGTAACAGTGGTGTGACTTGGTAATAGACTCGATGTGGGTAGTTAGGGGGTGGAGTCAAAGATGAAGCTCAGGTTTCTAATGCCACATTCTAGGTGAAAAGAAGAACCATTATCTGAGATAAGACACAGCAAGAGAAAGGTAAGGAATGTAATGCATTCAGTTTCAGACAAATGAACTCGAGGTGGCTGCAGGACATTTAATTAAAGGTGAGTGATATGCATTTGAATATAGTGAAATATAGAACAGAAGTCTGGATGGGCGAACATATATGTGGAAGTTGTTAATCCACTGAAGCTGATACCTTAAGAACAGGCTACTAGCATCAAAATCGCAGCAGACAAAACCTACTGAATGGACTGTCAGTTTCCAGTCTTAATAGTTCTCTTTTTTTATCTATTGGTTTTTCAATTATTTTTCCTCAGTCATTTCTTTTTCATAAATGCTTAAAAAACCCTCAATATTTTAAGTAAAAACATACTCATATGACAAGTAATATAAGTTCCTTTTCTTTCCCTCTCTTCTGGAAAACATCATTTTTATCTGAGAATATGTTTATTATTTTTAATACTTAAGAAATTTGGACTTTTTTGTTGTTTTTATATTGTCTCTTAATGAAATTTGACATCCTTGAAGGTCGTGATGCTGTTTTTCTTTTTTTTTTTTTTAGTTCCAAACAGGATCTATTACACTGTGAAGCATTCAGTGGACATTTTTATGTTTATTGATGATAATTTTAATATGAAGCTATATCCAAATTGAAATAGACACCATAAGAAACAATGTAACTTAAATGTTCTGAGATTGTAATTATGTAACATAAAAAGGAAGTGAAAAGAGACACCAAGCACAATGTGATTAGTGGATCATTTTGCCTTCTTTTGTAAATAATTTTTCAAGCATGATTACAGTTACACCTGCATGTACTAAATTCATTTTTCTATGCTGATAAGTAAGAAATGATGAATATCATCTGAGAAATACTCTTTTATTTCAAGACCAGATTGCTTGTATGATGTTTAGTTCGGGATCAGAAGGGACATACAATTGAGTTGCATGAAAAGTTTTCTCTTTATAACTTTGCTAACTCTAATTTTGTGAAATTTGTGCTAGTGTCGGAAACATAAAACTATGTGCATCAAGAATAGTTTTTTTTTTCTTCCTTCAAAGCTGGCTTTAATTTTCCTGGTATTTCTGCCTGGGCTTAGATTGGTGATTATGACACTTAGCACATGAATCATTTTCTCCAACTTCAAAGAGCATTACGAAGGCTGAATAATTATTCCTCACAGTCTTTAGCAAGGGAGGTATTTTTGTTCACATCCCATTGTACAGACCTGAAAACTGAGGGACAGTAGTCAAGTAGATATCTTATCCCAAAAGATTAAAAAATCATAACCTTTTGAATCTCAATCATCTTTTCTCTTTTTCTTTTGGTTCTTTCTATGGACTTCAAGATATAAGAAAAAGATTAGGGAAAAAAATTGAACTCTGTGATGTTTTCAAAGAAAAGAAAAAATTTCACACCTTTTTAACTGTCGTTCAGCTGCAGGTAAAGAATTTAACAGCTTGTGGAGTGCTAATTAGAGCCCATTATAACTTGATTGACCTGCATTGGCAGCAGCACTGGCTGTGTCCTTGCAAGATGGAGAGTTTCTTTGCACAGTTCTGATTCAGGAAATTCGGTTTCCTGACTATGGAAGCAGTGATAATTCAGAGGCGATAGTCAGAATCAGGCTGTATAAATCTATATTTAAAATGGAATTTTACCTTTGCATGCTTTGGGAATAATAAGCAACAAATGCTGTTCAATACTTCCAGTGGCTCAAATGTTATCACACCTACTTTCATGAAGATACAGAAAACTGAGCTTCATGATCTGTCTTAACTTCCTAATTGACAAAGTCAAAGAATATCCAAGAAAGGAAATATCTTTATTTGGCCTTCTTGGCTTTTGATATTTACTATTTGCAAAAGAAATCAAGTATGTATATTTACAAAGTAAATGTTTTGTATTAAAGTGGCAAAATGAGGTTTCCTGCGTAAGTACATATTTGAGTGAAAAGTGTTTTCTTTTGGCTTTATTTGATTATTTTCTTGATGACCTAAAGGGATTTTCTTCTGTGTCCGATAATTAAGTTTAATATTGTTCTATACACCTGTTCTCTAACCTTTTCTGTGGTCCCACATTTCTATTTGCTTATTGCATAGAAATCTATTGTGTGGAAAGATATTCCTATTTCATCCACCTTCTTCCTTCCCACAAATAATTGTCTCATTTCGTCAATTTCTAACATCCTACCTCATGTCTAGGACGTGTGTTTATAAAAATATCAATCTATCTTCAGGCGAAACATTTGAACAAATATTAGAAATTAGCACTATAAAATCCTAAAATAATGTTTCCATTTTTATTGTGCTAAAATACACATACCATAGCAGATAAAATGTGCCATCTTAACCATTTTTAAGTGTACATTTGAGTTGCCTTAAGTACATTCTCATTGTTGTGCAACCATACCCATTACCTATCTTCAGAACATTTTTCATCTTGCAAAACTGAAGCTCTGTACCCATTACACAGTAACTCCCCATTCTCCCTCCTGCCAGCCCCTAGAAATCACCATTCTACTTTCTGTCTCCATAATTTTGACTACACTAGGTGCCTCATATGAGTGAAATCATACAGTATTTGTCTTTTTGTAACTGGCTTATTTTACTTAGCATAATGTTCTCAAGGTTCATCCATGTTGTAGAATATGTCAGAATTTCCTTCTTTTTTAAGGCTGAGTAATATTCTACCATATGTATATACCACATTTGACTCGTCCATTCTTCTGTTGATGGACATTTGGATTGCTTCCACATCTTAGCTATTGTAAATAATGCTGCTATGAACATGTGTATCTCCTAGTGACCCTCCTTTTAATTCTTTTAGATATGTAATGACAGGGTTTAAGACACACTAACCCAAAGTATGACACCTTACCATTTGAGAAAACAGGAAAGCAGGAAGTTCTCTCTGACCTTTCCCCACCATTCTCCCCCGAAGCAAGCCACAAAAAAATATTCTGACCTTCCTCTAAAAGAGGTCATAAGACCCTCATTCCAGAAGGGTCCTGTCTATAACTGGAAGAAAGGAATGAAGACACAGGGACACAAAGAAGAATCTGAACAAACAGCCTTATGAAGTTTCCTTTAGTTTATTACCATTAGATGATACCCCCTTTTGTCCCATCATACTTCTACATGACTATCTACTTTTCATCAAAGCTAACCATAAAAATACAGTTTTTTTCTATACCTTTAGGCCTTCATTTTTGAAGGCTTTCTTGATATGTAAAACTTTTATTAAATACATTTGTATGCCTTTCTCCTGCTAATCTGTCTTTTGTTTTAAAGGTCTGATATGGTTTGGCTGTGTCCCCACCCAAATCTCATCTTGAATTGTAGCTCCCATAATTCCCATCTGTCATGGGAGAGAACCAGTGGGAGGTAATGGAAAAATGAGGGTGGGTCTTTTCTGTGCTGATCTCATGATAGTGAATAAGTTGCATGAGATCTTATGGTTTTCTAAAGAGGTGTTCCCCTGCACATGCTGTCTTGCCTGCTGCCATGTAAGACATGACTTTGCTCCTCATTTGCCTTCCTCCATGATTGTGAGGCTTTCCTGGCCATGTGAAACTGTGAGTCAATTAAACCTCTTTCCTTTATAAATTACCCAGTCTTAAGTATGTCTTTATTAGCAGCACAAGAACAGGCTAATACAAGGTCTCAGCCATGAACCTTATATTGGATAAGAAGATACTTTTTCTCCCCTACGATACCTATGAGTAGAGTTGCTGGATATATGGCAATTCTATTTTTAATTTTTTAGGAAATTATCATACTGCTTTCTACAATGTCTATATTATTTTACATTCCTATCAACAGTGCTTACGGATTCCAATTTCTCCACATGCTCTCTAATATGTATTTTCTGTTTTTTTTTTTTTTGATAATAGCCATCTTAATAGGAGTAAGGTAGTATCTCATTGCGGTTTTGATCTGCAATTATCTAATGATTACTAATGTTGACCATCTTTGTATGTGCTATTTGGCCACTCCTATATCTTCTCTGAAAAAAATGTTTATTTAAGTCCTTTGCCTATTTTTGAAATGTTGTTGCTGTTGCTGCTGAGTTTTAGCTGTTCTCTATATACTCTGGATACTAATTGTTTATCAGATATATTATTTGCAAATATGTTCTTCATTCTGTGGGTTTTCCCTATATTCTATTGATAGTATAGTACCTTTCGATATACAAATTTCATGAAATCCAATTAGTTTATTTCTTCTTTTGTTCCTGTGCCTTTGCTGTCATATCCAAAAAACCATTGCCAAATCCAATGTTGTGAAGCTTTTGTGCTATATTTCCTTCTAAGAGTTTTATAGCTTTAGGGATTATATTTAGATCATGGATCCATTTTGAGTCAATTTTTGTATGTGGTGTCAGATTAGGGTATAACTTAATTCTTCTGCATGTGGATATTCGGTTTTCCTGGAAATATTGTGGAAGAGACTGTCTTTTCTTCATTGGATGGTCTTGGCAACCTTGTTGGAAATCATTTGACTATATATGCAAAGGATTATTTCAGGGCTCTCTAGTCTATTCCATTGCTCTATGTCTTTATGCCATTACCACACTGTTAGATTGTTATAGATTTGTATGATGCTTGGGCTTTTTGTGGTTCCTTAAGATTCTATATAAATTTTATGATGGATTTTTTTATTTCTTTAAAAATATGTTATTGGGATTTTTATAGAGATTGCATTAAATCTGTATATAAGTTTAAGTAGTATTGACATCTTAACAATCTTAAGTCTTTCAATCCATGAACACAGGATATACTCGTTTATCCTATGATTTGTTGATGACATCTAGATTTACTGGTGTCTTCTTTGATTTTTGTTTTCAGAAATGTTTTATAGTTTTTATTGGACAAGCTTTTACCTCCTTGGTTAAGTTTATTCCTAACTATTCTGTTATTTTTCATATTGTTATGAACATAGTTATTTTCTTAATTTCCTTTTCAGATATTTTATTGTTAATCTTTAGAAGTGCAACTGATTTGTTTATGTTGACTTTGTATGTTGCTACTTTGATGAATTTGTTACTCCTAAGTGTGTATGTGTGTGTGTGTGTGTGTGTGTAATTTTTAGAGTTTTCTACATATAGCATAATATCTTCTGCCAAAGGAAATAATTTTACTTTTTTTCTTTCCAATTTGGACTCTTTTTATTTATTTTTCTTGCCTAATTTCTCTGACTAGGACTTTTAGTACTATGTTAAATAGAAGTGGCAAATGTAGGTATCCTTGCTTTGTTCCTGACCTTAGAGGAAATACTTTCAGTCTTTCACCAATGAGTAGGTGTTTACTTCAGGTTTTTCATATAGAGCTTTTATTACGTTCACGTAGTTTCCTTCTACTCCTAGTTTGTTGAGTGGTTTTATCATAAAAAGATGTTCAATTTTGACAGATGCTTTTTCTGCATCAATAAAGATGATTGTGTGGATTTTTTTCTTCATTCTGTTAATTTGGTACATTACATTGATTGATTTTTATATGTTGAACCATCTTTTCCTTCCAAGAATTAAACCCCATTTGGTCATTTTCTTAGTCCATTTTCTGTTGCTCTAACAAAATACCACAGACTTGGTAATTTATAAAGAAAAAAGATTTAGTCAGGTCACAGTTCTTGAGGCTGGAAAGTTCAAGAGCATGGCACTGGCATCCTGCGAGGGCCTTCTTGCTGCATTATATTATGGTGGAAGACATCAAATGGCAATAGAGCAAGAGTGTGCCAGCTCTTGTGTCTCTTCTTCTTGTAAAGCCACTAGTCCTAATATAGGAGACCACCTGATGATTTAATCTAATCCTAATCCTAATTACCTCTCCAATTCTCCATCTTCAAATATTATCAACATATGAATTTGGGGATTAAGTTTCCAACACATGGAATTTGAGAGACACATTCAAACCACAGCAGTCATGGCACATAACCATTTAAAAATACTGTTGA
The DNA here is from genome assembly GCF_000001405.40 of Homo sapiens. Lineage (NCBI taxonomy): Eukaryota > Metazoa > Chordata > Mammalia > Primates > Hominidae > Homo > Homo sapiens. The sequence continues at coordinate 72,054,916 of NC_000013.11, forward strand.
ATTCTGTTTGCTAGTATTTTATTGAGGATTTTTGCTTCAATGTTAATAAGGGATATTTGTCTGCAGTTTTCTTTTCTTGTTTTATCTTTACTGGCTTTGGTATCAGAGTAACTGTTGAGCATAACAACATGTACTTGTTGTCGAAGCTGGCAGAGGTATCCAACTACATAGAAGGTAGCAAAAATTATTACAATGCCAGCCACCAGCAATCAATGTCCAAACACTTCTGCTCACTGCATTTTGGTATCAGAGTAACCAAGAAAAACACAACACAGCCAAGCACTGTCTGGAATAACTCTTATAATCACATAGAAAAGAGACATAATAAAATCAGTTCCCATAGTGTGCATTGTGGTAGCGGGTCTCCTGGCAGCTGACAGGACAGTTAGCCTATGTACACCCTTCTCCTGTGGCAGTAGAATGAGCTCTCTCCCTCCCCACTAGAGTCTGATGTACTGAAAAGTGGATAAATGCCTGATAGCTATTTATGTACAAGCTTAAGCAGAACAAAGGACTGTACCTTGAGCCTGAAACAGGGAAAGATATTACCCCACAATGCAATAAGCCCAGCAAAGCTTGTATAGGCACTTCATCTCTTGGTAAGGAAGTGTTATAGGCCCAGGACCCATTCTTATGTGACTGAGCAGGAGTTGAAAGACTGAACAGACAAGACTCCCTTTCCCAAAAGTAATGCTGGCCTCATAGAGTGAGTTCAGGACTGTTATTTGTCTTCAATTTTGGGGGAAAGTTTGAGAAGGATTGGTATTCTTCTTTAAGTGTTTGACAGAATTCACCAGTGAACCCATTAGGTCCAGGGATGTTTTTTTGTGAGAAAATTTTTGATTACTAATTCAAACACTTTATGAATTATAGGTCTATTAAGATTTTCTATTTCTTCATGCTTTAGTCTTGGCAGGTTTTGTGTTTGTAGGAATTTGCCCATTTCATCTAGGTTATATTACTTATTTGTTGGCATGCAATTGTTCATAGTACTCTCTTATAATATTTCGCATTTCTGTAAAATCAGTAGTAATTTCCTCACTTTCATTTATGGTTTTAGTAATTTGAGTCTTCTCTGTTTTCCATACAGACTCCATTTAGTTAAACTTTTATTAGTTTTGTTGATATTTTTGAGGAACCACCTTTTGGTTATTTTAAACTTTCCCTATTATTTTTCTATACTTTTATTTCATTTGACTCTGCACTTGACTTTATTATTTCATTTTCATGCTAGCTTTAGGTTTGTTTTTCTTTTTCTAGTTCCTTAAGTTGTAAAGTTCAATTGTTGATTTGAGATCTTTCTTACGTTTTAATGTATGTATTTATATCTATACATTTCTCCTTTAGCACTACTTTCACCGTATATTATAATATTTTTATGTAGTGTTTTTATTTTCATTTATCACTACATATTTTCTAATGTATCTTTTGGTTTTCTAATTTATCTTTTTATCCATTGGTTGCTTAAGAGTGTGTTGTTTAATTGCCACAAATTTGTAAATGTTTTATTTTTCCTAATGTTATTAATTTCTATCTTTATCCGATTTTGGTTTGAGAAGATACTTTGAATAATATCTACCTTTTAAAATCTATTAAGGCTTAATTTGTTTTCTAACATATGGTTTATCCTAAAAACTTACACTTGAAAAGAATGTGTATTCTGTTCCATTGGGTAGAGTGTTCAATAAGTGTCTGTTAGATCTAGTTAATTTCTTGTGTGTAAGTCCTCAATTTCCTTGCTTATTGTCAGGTTCCTCTAAAAAACATGTCATAGTCTGGGTGGCTTAAACACTACACATTTATTTCTCACAGTGCTGGAGGTAAGAAAGTCCAAGATCAAAGAACTGGCAGATCTAGTGTTTGGCGGGAACGTGGCTCCTGGCTTTGGAATTTGCCATCTTCTTGTTATATTTCCACATCAGAGAGCAGAGAAACAGCAAGCTATCTGGCCTCTGGTTAAAAGAGCATTAATTTCATTATCTTCCAAAGGCCCAATTCCAAATACCATCACAATAAAGATTGCACTTGAACATAAATTTTGGTCACACAAACATTCAGTCTATAGCACTTATTTTCTTTCTGGTTGTTCAATCCTTTATTGAGAGTATAATGTAGAATGGTCTATTTCTATCTTAAATTTAATTAATTGTGCTTTATATATTTTGATGGACTTTTATTAAATGTATAAATGTTTATTATATTTTCTTGTATTAAATCTTATGTTAATATATAATGTCATTCTTTGTATGAACTTTTTTGTTTAAAGTCAATTTTGTTTGATAGCAGCATATTTACTATAGTAACTAAACAAAAGTATGCATGACTATACTACTATCAGACAAAATGGCTGTACATACTTTCTTTTGTTACTAGTAGCATTTACCATCCTTTCACTTTCAAACTATTTGTATAGATAGCATATAGTTGAATCACATTTTTAAAAATCAATTTTCTCAATCTTCATCTTTTGATTGGAAAGTTTCATCCACTTATGTTTAATTACTAATGAGAAGAGATTTTGGCATTTTTCTATTTGTTTTCTATATGCCTTATAACTCTTTTTGTTCCTCATTTCCTGCATTACTGTTGTATATGTTCAATCGATTTTTGTAGTAAAACATTTAAATTCCTTTCTCATTTCCTGTTGTGGATGATTTTTAGCTATTTTCTTTGTAGTTATCATGAAGATTACATTTAACATCCTAAAATTCTAAAATTCTACTTTGAATTTATACCAGCGTAATTTCAATAACATACAAAACCTCTTCTCCTTTAACTGCACCATCCCCATTCCTTTAGTTCTAAATGTCACAGAATTACATCTTTATTTAATAAATTGTCTGTCCAAAACACAAACTAATAATTTTTAATGCATTAGTCTTTTAAATTGTGTAGAAACCTAAAAGTAGAGTTACCCATCATTGTTTCACTAATATTGACTTTTAAAATTGACCATGTATTTAACTTTACTGAGATCTTTATTTCTTCATAAGGCTTCAAGTTACTGTCTAGTGTTCTTTCTATTTCAACCTGCAGGACTCCCTTTAGTATTTCTTGCCAGGCAGATATAGTGGTAACAAACTCCCTCAGCTTTTGTTTATCAGGGAATGTTTTATTTTTCTCCTCACTACTGAAGGACAGTTTTGCCAGATATGTAATTCTTGGTTGACAGTATTTTTTATATTAGTACTTTGAATACGTCAGCCCACTGACCCCTTGCCCTGAAAGTTTCTGATGAGAAGTCTGCTTGCAGTTTTATTAAGGATTTCTTACATGTAATGAGTTGCTTCTCTCTTGCTGCTTTCAATATTCTCTCTCTGACTTTGGCTTTCAACGATTTGTTTATCATGTGTTCTTGATGGAATTAAACTCTTGGAATGTAACCTATTGAAGCTTGTTGAGGTTCTTGGATGTTTATATTCATGTCTTTCTTCAAGTTCAGAAAGTTTTTGCCCATTATTTCTTCAAATAATCTCTCTACCTCTTTCTCTTTTTTTCTGCTTCTGAGAATTCTGCAATATGCATGTTGGTCAGCCAGATGATTCCCATGGGTCTCTTATGTTCCATTCACTTTTTCTCAATATTTTTTCTTTCTGTTTATCAGACTCAATAATTTCCATTGTCCTATCTTCAAGTTTGATTGTTCTTTCCTCTGCTTGCTTAGAACTGCCTTTGAATCTTTCTAGTGATTTGTCTTTTCAGTTATTTCATTCTTCACTCCAGCATTTATTTCTTTTTGGTTTCTTTTTTGGTTTTCTATCACTTTATTGACACTTTAATTTTATTCATACTTTTAAAACACTTTATCCATATCTTCTTTTAGTTATTTGAGCATCCTTAAGAGGTCCAAGAGCATCCTTAAGAGCATCCAAAACTCTTTGCCTAGTAGATTTACCATCAGGTTTTTTCAAAGACTGTTTCTGTTTATTAATTTATTTTCCTTTTATATGGTGTACTTTCCTATTTTTTTGTATGCCTTGTTATTTTTTTTTTTCTTTTTCTTGCTTTCCTTCTTTCTTTCTTTCTTCTTCTTCTTCTTTTTTTTTTTTTTTTTTTTTGAGACAGGGTCTTACTTTGTCACTTAGGCTGGAGTACAGTGGTACAATCCTGGCTCACTACAGTCTCAATCTCTGGGGCCCAAGTAACTCTCCTACCTCAGCCTTATGAGAAACTGGGACTGGAAGCATGTGCCACCATGCCTGGCTACTTTTTGAAAAAGAATTTTGTAAAGATGGGGTTTCACTATGTTTGCCAGGCTGGTTTTGCACTCCTGAGCTAAAACTATCCTCCCACCTGGGCCTCCCCAAAGTGCTGGAATTACAGATGTGAGCACCATGCTTGGACTATGCCTTGTGATTTTTTTGTTGAATATTGGACATTTGAATCTAATAAAGCAGTAACTCAGGAAATCTGATTTTCCTTCTTCCCTATGGTTTTCTACTTATTTTATTTTTTAGTTATTTATGGATCAGCCTAAAGTGTAAACTTAAAATCTCCTGATTTATTTTTTTCTGCATTTGTATTTGCCTAGTGATAAAGTCTTCAAACATCTAGAAAACCTTTCCAAGAAGAATAGATGCAAACAAGCCCAGACTGGGAAGACTATGATAAATGTCTAACTCTTCAATGCCAAGACACTGATGAATATCTACAACCTTCAAGCCCATTCAGGAAAACATGACTTCAGTAAATGAAGTAAGTAATGCAGCAGGGACCAATGCCAGAGAGACAGATATATGTGACCTTTCAGACAGACAATACAAAATAGTTGTTTTGAGAAAACTCATAGCAATTCAAGATAACACACAGAAGGAATTCAATATCCTATCAGATAAATTTAACAAATAAATTTAAATAATTAAAAGGAATCAAGCAGAAATTCTGGAGTTGAAAAATTCAATCGACACACTAAAAAATGCATCAGAGTCTTTTAATAGCAGAATTATCAAACAGAAGAAAGAATTAGAGAGCTTGAAGACAGGCTATTTGAAAATACACAGTCAGAGGACACAAAAGAAAAAAAATACAACGATACTTATCTACAAGATCTAGAATATAGCCTGAAAAGGGTAAATCTAAAACTTATTGGCCTTAAAGATGAGGGAGGTGGGTAGAAAGTTGATTCACCAGGATAGTAACAGAGAACTTCCTAAGCCTAGATAAATATATCAATATTTAATTACACGAAGGCTAAAGAAAACCAAGTAGATTTAATTCAAAGAAGACTACCACAATGCATTTCATAATCAAACTCCCAAAGATCTAGGATAAAGAAAGGATTTTAATTGTAGTAGGATAAAAAAATAAACAAACAAATAACATACAATGGAGCTCCAATATGGCTGGCAGTAGACTTTCCATTGGAAACCTTACAGGCCAGGAGAGAGTGGTATGACATATTTAACATGAAGAAGAAGGAGAAGAAAAAAAAAACCCTTTTACCCTAGCATAGTATATCCGGTAAAAATATTCTTTAATATGAAGGAGAAATAAAGACTTTCTCAGACCAACAAAACCAGAGGGTTTTTATTAACACCAGACCCATTCTACAAGAAATGCTAAAGGGAGTTCTTCAATCTGAAAGAAAGGGACATTGATGAACAATAAGAAATCATCTGAAGGTACAAAGGTCACTGGTAATAGTAAGTACACAGACAGACATAGAATATTTAATACTGTAATTGTGGTGTATAAATTGCTCTTATCTCTAGTAGAAAGATGAAAAAATGAACCAATCAAAAATAATAATTACAACAAATTTTCAAGACATAGGCAGTATAATAAGATATAAACGGAAGCAACAAAAAGTTAAAAATCAAAAGTTAAAATATTGAGTTTTATTTGTTAGTTTGTTTATTCAATTAGTGTGAAGTTGTCCTCAGTTTAAAGTAATGGGTTATAAGATATTTGCAAGCCTCATGGAACATACAATGGATACACAAAAAATAAAAACAAGATATTAAAACATAAAACACCAGAGAAAATCACATTCATTAAAATGAAAACAGGAAGGAAAGAAGGAAGAGAAAAATCACAAAATGACCAGAAAACATATAACATAATGGGAGAAATATGTCCTTACTCATCAATAATAACATTGAAGGTTAATGGAGTGAACTGTCTTATCAAAAGACATAGATTGGGCCAGGCGCGGTGGCTCACGCCTGTAATCCCAGCACTTTGGGAGGCCAAGGCGGGCAGATCACAAGGTCAGGAGATCAAGACCATCCTGGCTAACACGGTGAAACCCCATCTCTACTAAAAATACAAAAAAATTAGCCAGGTGTGGTGGTGGGGGCCTGTAGTCCCAGCTATTCAGGAGGCTGAGGCAGGAGAATGGTGTGAACCTGGGAGGCAGAGCTTGCAGTGAGCCGAGATCGCACCACTGCACTCTAGCCTGGCCGACAGAGCAAGACTCCATCTCAAAAAAAAAAAAAAAAAAAAAAAAAACCCCAAAAAAACAAAGAAAGACATAGATTGGCTGAATGCATAACAAACTAAAACCCAATGATGCTACCTACAGTAAACATACTTCACCTAAAAAAACAAAAATGCATATAGTTTGAAAATAAAGGGATGGAAAAAGATAGTCCAGGCCAATGGAAACCAAAAAAAAAAAAAAAAAAAAAAAAAAAAAAAAAAAAAAAGTAGCAGGAGTAGCTATACTTATATCAGGCAAATTGGATTTCAAGACAAAAACTATAAGAAAAGACAAAGAATGCCATTATATAATGGTAAAGGGCCAATTCAGCAAGAGGATGTAACAATTGTAAATCTGAATGCATTCAATATTGGAACACCCAGATATATAAAGCAAATGTTGTTAGAACTAAAGAGAGAGATAGACCCCAGTACAATTATAGCTGGATACTTCAACACCCCACTTTCAGCACTGGACAGATCTTCCAGACAGAAAATCAACGAAAAAAGTCAGACTTAATCTGCACTATAGATCAAACGGATCTAAAGATATTTACAGAATATTTCATCCAAGGCCCATAGAGTACACATTCTCCTCAGCATATGGATCATTCTCAAGGATATACCATATGTTAGGTCACAAAGTAAGTCTTTAAACATTCAAAGAAAATTGAAATAATATAAAGCATCTTCTCTGACCACAGTAGTATAAAATGACTAATAAATAACAAGAGGAATTTGGAAACTGTAAAAACATATGGAACTTAAATAACATGTGGGCATTTGCTGGCAAGATGGCCAAATAAGAGCAGCTCTGGTCTGCAGCTCCCAGCAAGATCCATGCAGAAGGCGAGTGATTTCTGCATTTCCAACTGAGGTACCCAGTTCATCTTACTGGGACTGGTTGGACAGTGGGTGAAGCCCACGGAAGGTGAGCCGAAGCAGGGTGGGGCATCACATCACCTGCAAAGCACAAGGTTTTGGGGAATTCTCTCCCCTACCCAAGGGAAGCCGTGAGGGACTGTGCCATGAGGAATGGTGCACTCTGGCCCAGATACTGCTCTTTTCCTATGATCTTTGCAACCTGCAGACCAGGAGATTCCCTCCGGTGCCTATGCCACCAGGGCCCTGGATTTCAAGCCAAAAACTGGGCAGCTGTTTGGGCAGAGACTGAGATAGCTGCAGGAGTTTTTTTTCTTCCATACCTCAGTGGCACCTGGAATGCCCATGAGACAGAACCATTCACTCCCCTGGAAAGGGGCCTGAAGCCAGGGAGCCAAGTGGTCTGGCGTGGTGGGTCCCACCCCAAGGAGCCCAGCAAGTTAAGATCCACTAGCTTGAAATTGTCGCTGCCAGCACAGCAGTCTGAGGTCGACCTGGGATGCCTGAGCATGGTCGGGGAAGGGCGTTTCCTATTGTTGAGGCTTGAGTAAGCTGTTTTACCCTCACAATGTAAACAAAGCTGGCAGGAAGTTCAAACTGGGTGGAGCCCTCCACAGCTCAGCAAGGCCATTGTGGTCAGACAATGGGCACAGCTTCAGCAGACTTAAATGTCCCTGCCTGACAGCTCTGAAGAGAGCAGTGGATCTCCCAGCACACCGTTCGAGCTCTGCTAAGGGTCAGACTGCCTCCTCAAGTGGGTCCCTAACCCCCGTGTATCCTGACTGGGAGACGCCTCCCAGTAGGGGCCAACAAACACCTCATGCAGTAGAGCTCTGGCTGGCATTCTGGGACAAAGGTTCCAGAGGAAGTAACAGACAGCAATATTTGCTGTTCTTCAGCCTCCACTGGTGATACAGGGACAAACAGGGTCCACGGTGGACGTCCAGCAAATGCCAGCAGACCTGCATCAGAGGGGCCTGACTGTTAGAAGGAAAACTAACAAACAGAAAGGGATAGCATCAACATTAACAAAAAGGATGTCCACCCAGAGACCCCATCCAAAGGTCACCAACATCAAAGACCAAAGGCAGATAAATCCATGAAGATGGGAAGAAACCAGTGCAAAGAGGCTGAAAATTCCAAAAACCAGAATGCATCTTCTCCTCCAAAGGATCACAATTCCTCGCCAGCAAGAGAACAAACCTGGATGGAGAATGAGTTTGATGAATTGACAGAAGTAGGCTTCAGAAGGTGGGTAATAACAAACTCCTCTGAGCCATAATGCAAGGAAGCTAAGAACTTTGAATAAAGGTTAGACAAATTGTTAACTAGAATAACAGCATAGAGAAGAACATAAATGACCTGATGGAGCTGAAAAACACAGCATGAGAATGTCATGAAGCATACGCAAGTATCAATAGCCAAATCAATCAAGCAGAAGAAAGGATATCAGAGATTGAAGATCAATGTAATGAAAGAAAGTGTGAAGACAAGATTAGAGAAAAAAGAATAAAAAGAAATGAACAAAGCCTCCAAGAAATATGGGAGAATGTGAAAAGACCAAACCTACATTTGATTGGTGTACCTGAAAGTGACAGGGATAATGGAACAAAGTTGGAAAACACTCTTCAGGATATTATCCAGGAGATCTTCCTCAACCTTTCAAGACAGGCCAACATTCAAATTCAGGAAATACAGAGAATACCACAAAGATACTCCTCAAGAAGAGCAGCCCCAAGACACATAATCATCAGATTCACCAATGTTGAAATGAAGGAAAAAATGTTAAGGGCAGCCAGAGAAAGTTGGGTTACCCACAAAGGGAAGCCCATCAGACTAACAGTGGATCTCTCTGCAGAAACCTTACAAGCCAGAAGAGAGTGGGGGCCAATATTCAACATTCTTAAAGAAAATAATTTTCAACCCAGAATTTCATGTCCAGCCAAACTAAGTTTCATAAGCAAAGGAGAAATAAAATCCTTTTACAGACAAGCAAATGCTGAGAGATTTTGTCACCACCAGGCCTGCCCTACAAGGCTCCTGAAAGAAGCACTAAACATGGAAAGGAACAACCAGTACCAGCCACTGCAAAAAAACATACCAAATTGTAAAGACCATTGACACTATGAAGAAACTGCATCAATTAATGGGCAAAATAACCAGCTAGCATCATAATGACAGGATCGAATTCACACATAACAATATTAGCCTTAAATGTAAATTAGCCTAATGACCCAGTTGAAAGACACAGACTGGCAAATTAAATAGAGTGAAGCTCCATTGGTGTGCTGTATTCAGGAGACCAATCTCACGTGCAAAGACACACATAGGCTCAAAATAAAGGGATGAAGGAAATTTACCAAGCAAATGGAAAGCAAAGAAAAGAAAAAAGCAGGGGTTGCAATCTTACTCTCTGATAAAACAGACTTTAAACGAACAAATATCAACAGAGACAAAAAAGGGCATTACATAATGGTAAAGGGATCAATTCAACAAGAAGAGCTAACTGTCCTAAATACATACGTACTCAATACAGAAGCACTCAGATTCATAAAGAAAGCTCTTGGAGACCTACAAAAAGATTTAGACTCCCACACAATAATAGTGGGATACTTTAACACCCCACTGTCAATATTAGACAGATCAATGAGACAGAAAATTAACAAGAATGTTCAGGACTTGAACTCAGCTCTGGACTAAGAGGACCTAATAGATATCTACAGAACTGTCCACCCCAAATCAACAGAATATACATTCTTCTCAGTACCTCACAGCACTTATTCTAAAATTGACCACATAATTGGAAGCAAAACACCTCTCAGCAAATGCAAAAGAACAGAAATCATAACAAACAGTCTCTCAGACCACAGTGCAATCAAATTAGAACACAGAATTAAGAAACTCACTCAAAACCTCACAACTACATGATAACTGAACAACCTACTCCTGAATGACTACTGGGTAGATAACGAAATGAAGGCAGAAATAAAGATGTTCTTTGAAACCAATGAGAACAAAGACAAAACGTACCAGAATCTCTGGGACACATTTAAAGCAGTGTTTAGAGGGAAATTTATAGCACTAAATGCCCACAAGAGAAAGCAGGAAAGATCTAAAATTGACACCCTAACATTAAAATTAAAAGAACTACAGAAGCAAGAGCAAACAAATTCAAAAGCTAGCAGAAGACAAGAAATAACTAAGATCAGAGCAGAACTGAAGGAGATAGAGACACGAAAAACCCTTCAAAAAATCAATGAATCCAGGAGCTGGTTTTTTGAACAGATCAACAAAATCAATTGACAGCTAGCCAGATTAATAAAGAAGAAAAGAGAGAAAAATCAAATAGACACAATAAAAAATGATGAAGGGGATATCACCACTGATCCCACAGAAATACGAACTACCATCAGAGAATACCATAAACACCTCTGTGCAAATAAACTAGAAAATCTAGAAGAAATAAACCAGGAAGAAGTGGAATCCCTGAATAGACCAATAACAAGTTCTGAAATTGAGGCAGTAATTAATAGCCTACCAACCAAAAAAAGTCCAGAACCAGACAAATTCACAGTTGAATTCTACCAGAGGTACAAAGAGGAGCTGGTCCCATTCTTTCTGAAACCATTCCAAACAATAGAAACAGAGGGAATCCTCCCTAACTCATTTTATGAGGCCAGCATCATCCTGATACCAAAACCTGTGCAGAGACACAATGAAAAAAGAAGATTTCAGGCCAATATCCCTGAAGAACATCGATGCAAAAATCCTCAATAAAATACTGGCAAAGCAAATCCAGCAGCACATCAAAAAGCTTATCCACCATGATCAAGTTGGCTTCATACTTGAAATACAAGGCTGGTTTCACATATGCAAATCAATAAACGTAATCCATCACATAAACAGAACCAATGACAAAAACCACATGATTATCTCAATAGATACAGAAAAGTCCTTCGACAAAATACAACACCGCTCACTTCATGCTAAAAACTCTCAATAAACTAGGTATCGATGGAACGTATATCAAAATAATAAGAGCCATTTATGGCAAACTCACAGCCAGTACCATCCTGAATGGGCAAAAACTGGAAGCAATCCCTTTGAAAACCAGCACAAGACAAGGATGCCCTCTCTCACCACTCCTATTCAACATAGTATTGGAAGTTCTGACCAGGACAATCAGGCAAGAGAAAGCAATAAAGGGTATTCAAATACGAAGAGAGGAAATCAAATTGTCTCTGTTTGCAGATGACATGATTATATATTTACAAAACCCCATCGTCTCAGCCCCAAATTTCCTTAAGCTGATAAATAACTTCATCGGAGTCTCAGGATACAAAATCATGTGCAAAAATCACAAGCATTCCTATACACCAATAACAGACAAACAGAGAGCCAAATTATGAGTGAACTTCCATTCACAATTGCTACAAAGAGAATAAAATACCTATGAATACAACTTACAAGGGATGTGAAGGACCTCTTCAAGGAGAACTACAAACCACTGCTCAAGGAAGTAAGAGGGGACACAAATACATGAAAAAAACATTCCATGGTCATGGATAGGAAGAATCCATATCATGAAAATGGCCATACTGCCCAAAGTAATTTATAGATTCAATGCTATCCCCATCAAGCTACCATTGACTTTCTTCACAGAATTAGAAAAAACTACTTTAAATTTCATATGGAACCAAAAAAGATCCTGCATAACCAAGACAATCCTAAGCAAAAAGAACAAAGCTGGAGGCATCACACTACCTGACTTCAAACTATACCACAAGAGTACAGTAACAAAAACAGCATGGCACTGGTACCAAAACACAAATAGAGACAAATGGAACAGAACAGAGGCCTCAGAAATAACAACACTCATCTACCACCATCTGATCTTTGACAAATGGGACAAAAACAAGCAATGGGGACACGATTCCCTATTTAATAAATAGTGTTGGGAAAACTGGCTAGCCATGTGCAGAAAACTGAAACTGGATCCCTTCCTTACACCTTATACAAAAATTAACCCAAGGTGGATTAAAGACTTAAACATAAGACCTAAAGCCATATAAACCCTAGAAGAATACCTAGGCAATACCATTCAGGGCATAGGCATGGGCAAAGACTTCATGACTAAAACATCAAAAGCAATGGCAACAAAAGCCAAAATTGACAAATGGGATCTAATTAAACTAAAGAGCTTCTGCACAGCAAAAGAAACTATCATCAGAGTCAACAGGCAACAAACAGAATAGGAGAAAATTTTTGCAATCTATCCATCTGACAAAGGGCTAATATCCAGAATCTACAAATTTACCAGAAAAAAAAAAAAAACCCATCCAAAAGTGGGCAAAGGATGTGAACAGAGGCTTCTCCAAAGAAGACATTTATGTGACCAACAAACATATGAGAAAAAGCTCATCATCACTGCTCATTAGAGAAATGCAGATCAAAACCACAATGAGACACCATCTCATGCCAGTTAAAATGGCAATCATTAAAAAGTCAGGAAACAGCAGATGTTGGAGAGGATGTGGAGAAATAGGAATGCTTTTACACTGTTGGCGGGAGTGTAAATTAGTTCAATCATTGTGGAAGACAGTGTGCTTATCCCTCAAGGATCTAGAACCAGAAATACCATTTGACCCAGCAATCCCATTATTGGATTTACAAACGATTATTACAAAGGATTATAAATCATTCTACTATAAAGACACATGCACACGTATGTTTACTGCAGCACTATTCACAATAACAAAGACTTGGAACAAACTCAAATGCCCATCAACGATAGACTGGATTAAGAAAATATGGCACATATATACCGTGGAATACTATGCAGCCACAAAAAAGGATGAGTTCATGTCTTTTCCTGGGACATGGAAGAAGCTGGAAACCATCATTCTCAGGAAACTAACACAGGGACAGAAAACCAAACACCGCATGGTCTCACTTAGAAGTGGGAGTTGAACAATGAGAACACATAGACACAAGGAAGGGAACATCACACACCAGGGCCTGTTGGGGGTTGGGGACTAGTGGAAGGATAGCATTAGGAGAAATACCTAATGTAGATGACGGGTTGATGGGTGCAGCAAACCACTGTGGCACATGTATACCTATGTAACAAACCTGCACGTTCTGCACACGTACTCCAGAACTTAAAGGATAATAATTTTTTAAAAAACAATTATTTTAAAAATTATATTTGGGAGGCCAAGGCAGACAGATCATGAGGTCAGGAGATCGAGACCATCCTGGTTAACATGGTGAAACCCCATCTCTACTAAAAATACAAAAAAAAAAAAAATTAGCTGGGAGTGGTGGTGGGTACCTGTAGTCCCAGCTACTCTGGAGGCTGAGGCAGGAGAATGGTGTGAACCCAGGAGGCGGAGCTTGCAGTGAGCAGAGATTGCACCACTGCATTCCAGCCTGGGCCACAGAGTAAGACTCCGTCTCAAAAAAAAAAAGAAAATTAGAAAGCAGTATGGAAAACCTATGTATTAATGCCATCATTATTTTCTGTCTTCTACCTACATCCTAGTATAGGCTAAACCATAGTCTGAATATTCAATTTGTTGAATGACCGAGCAACTGTGCAATTAAGATTATTTTTAGAATTTTAGTATTAAGCAATGACTTTTTTGACAATTTTCTTGTATATCACTTCAAAAGGCAAGACAAATTTTCATTGCACTAAATTGAACTCACAGCTCTCAATCCTCCACTATTCCCTCAAATCTATCATGCTGCATTTGATTGTATTTTAATGCAAATATGCCACTTCATCTACAGGATAAAAGTCAAATTAGAGAACAATTCAGACACATCAGAGTGTAAACTTCCCTTAGTAAATGAGTTAAAGTTGTATTTGTTTTGATATATAAAGCTAAGTGATTTGATGTTAAGAAAGTTGCCCTAATGACAGCAATTATGGATAGCCATCATTTGACAGTAAATCCTCCACATGGTATTCTCATATTCTTGGGGCCAAATTCTTCCTTAATTACACACCCATTTTCATGAGAGCCAGGCTGCAGCCAGCCAGAGGTATAGGGGCTTAGTACAAGGGGAACTGTTTTATTATCTTCATTATTTCAGTTACTAAATAATATAAAGTGAAGAAAATGTATATAATTTTCTTGTCCCCAAATTTAGCATAATATATTAAAAACCCCATCAAATAGAAAGCAAGAAAATGGCATCCCAGGGTCACAGCAGATTATTTTTTCCAAACTTTCTTAATATTATGATATTTCTTTACAATTAGAAGTTATAATGAAAAGAAGATGTAATTATCTCACCTCTTTTCCCTGTTTAATCAGGCTCTTGTCTTTGCTATCTTTCAAACCACACCAGCCTAGGATTTTCCATCAAAATTCTCGTTTCTCCTTTCTTTTCCCATATGTTCAGCAATCAACTATTGTTCAGGTTGTCTAAGTTGCACTTAAAGATTACATAATTGTCCTTCTTACTGAAATGTCTGTTAAGCAGATTTCACACAGACTACCCAGGAAGGGAGAGGTGCACCTACATATTTTTTCCACTTATTTTACTCACTTTGAAGTTTTTCCATGTCTAAAGTTATAGGGATAAAACTAAGGCAGTAATACACTAAATTCTTCTAATCTATAGTGAGAGATTTAATTCATCTTCTGAAAATGCTCAACTTGCTTCCAGACAGTAATTTTTATTCTCATAGTAGCTAATTTTTCTTTTTAAAAGAGACTTGTAGAAAGAAATAAAAATAAAAAGATGCCTGTCTGGATCTACTTTATTTAAATAAATTAAGTTTTTTGTTCAACATTTAATACAGGAGTATAGTATAGTATGAATTCATTAACTCACTAGGGCTTTTTATATTATATATACTGTTAGTCACTTTTTTCTGATCTCTTTTTAATTTTTTAAAAATATTGCTACTATATTTTTTCTTGTTTGCCTTCTTTGATTTTGCATGAACTTCTATTCAGCCTAAACTTGAGCCCTTTTCAAACCTACATCTCTTCATTCTGCCCTAGTTTTCAATATAATTTTTGACACAATATTCCATAATTTGTTTTTATAATTTTTATGTTTCCACACTTATCTCTCCTGGCTTCCTTAGTAGGTCCCCAATGTTCCAAAAATTAATCATTTATACCAGTGTATTTTAGCTGAATTATCTCTTTCATGCAGTTCTTTTAATAAGATTTTATAATTGTTGTCCATGCTGTTAATTAAGCAGATATCTGGAAGAGTGGTTTTGAACTTTAAGCTGACTCAAATATGTAATATTCTTGACCAAAAATTTGGTAGGGTATCAATCAGGATTCAACTAGAGAAGCAGAACTAGCAAGAGATAGAATAAATAGGTAAATGTATTACAAGGAATTGTCCTACAAAAATGTAGTAGGAGACCGGCTAAGCAAGCCCTAAATTCTGTAGGCAAGCAGGCAGGAAGGTAAGATCACGGGCAGGGTAGAACCTCACAAACTGAAGCTTGAAGTCCTCAGGCAGGTACTCAAGAAGGGACATTTACCAGCAAGGGGATCCCAGGACCATCAGCTGGAGCTTGGAGTCCAGATTCAGGAAAGCTCTAGCCCTCTTTCAAAGGGCTTCACTTTATTTGAATATTGGGGGCTGGTAATAAGGAAGCCATGAGAGATGGGATAAATGTAGGAAAATAAAAATCAAAAAATGAAATATGGATACCTAAAATTCTAATGAGAGAAAGGC
The DNA here is from genome assembly GCF_000001405.40 of Homo sapiens. Taxonomy (NCBI): domain Eukaryota; kingdom Metazoa; phylum Chordata; class Mammalia; order Primates; family Hominidae; genus Homo; species Homo sapiens. The sequence goes on from NC_000013.11 coordinate 72,070,936, forward strand.
AGAATGAACTGATAAGATTCAGACAGGCCCATCCTTTGGATTAATTGAAGGCAACTGATTAGGAGTTTTAAATTACACCTGGAAAATCCCCTCGTAGAATGGCTTCTACCTCCCTTCTATCCTCCAGCTCTTCTGAGAGAATCTCTCTCTTAGTCCATACTACCTGGAAACACACCAGGAAGGTAACTCTGAGGACTATAGTTTAGCCTAGCCAAGTGGACATATCACAAAGTCTTTGGTCCGTTGAAATGAGGTTTGATCAGATAGTTTTGTAGCTCACTGAGAGTATTTGATGCGCTGTGATTTATTCCTGACAAGCAAGTGCTCTTATAGAGTGATAAAAAATGACCAATTATTGATCATAACTAATATTTATTAAATAAACACTTTGTGCCAGATATTGTTTTACACTTTAGGTACAGTAATGCAATCATCACGACCTTATGAAGTAAGAGACTATTATTATCCCCATTTTCAAAAGGAGACCTTGAGGCACACACAGGTTAAGTAACTTGCCCAAGCTCACACGGTTTGTAAGTGACAGAGCCAGTTTTGAATTGGGGGAATCTAGCTCCAGAGTCCATAATGTTACCACTATCCTATCCTCAAGCATCAAAAACATCCCACATTTTTAGATTTTGTCACAAAAAATTATAAATGTCCTAACTCAGCTCTAATTCTTGGCACTTTCATGCTTATTCAGCTTATTTCTTAGATAATAAGAACCCCTGTTAGGATAAGAGTTCATCTTTACTTTTCTACTAACCCTTCTAGTTTTTTTCTCTAACTATGGATTCTTAAATTTTGTCACCTCTCTGGGCACAGTTAGCCCATTTAGTTAGGAAAATCCTTCCTCAAAGAGCAGGAAAAGCCTGTAACATCTCCAGTCTCCGAGGACGTGTACAGCTCCTACTCCCGTGAGTTCCCTGCAGGGGGTAGAACACTTTCTATTATACACAGTCCATTCTAACAGAGCCAGATTCAAACATGCAATGAAGGGTGAAGGAGGCATCAATAAACTGAAGGTTTTTAGTGGAACCACTTACTGTAAGTGTGACAGACTTGGATGGGGTGGGTGACAGTGTAAAGTACTCTGAAAAATCACTGCCTTCCACTGTTTTATCTCACTCACATTGAAGTTATTCCTGCAAATGAAAGTACGTGGTAAGGCCAAGGATTTCCTTCTATAGGGCTTGTGGCTATTAAGGAATTGAAAAATGGGGGTGTCATTAGGCAGGGACTTAAAGGAGAGGGAAAAATCAGCCCAATCACTGTATATCATATTACCAAGATATACAAAGATTACTCTAATCCTCAGCACATCAATTAACAACCAACCTGTCTTTTTCTGTATTTTTTTTCATAGAAGCAATATTCACAGTTGATGTCTGAATTCTTAGACAGTAAAGAGCTTGCCATAAAACAGGAGAGGTTAGGGGCTTCTTATGGAATAATGGAAAAATGGAAATTAGTGTCAAAATGATGTCATGGCTTCAAAACATTGTTGGTACAAGTGCCTGACAGGCATCCTTGACACAATCTGTAATGACACAGTAAGAAAGCAAAAATAATGTGACAATGACTCTCTATAGGACTCGAAGGATGACTGGCTGGGTGCTGCACTCCATATGCTGATCCCAAGTCGAAGATGCATTTCCTCTCTGAGACATCAATATTTATGAGATTTATTGATTATCTTGTCATGTTTAAAATATGTGCTTAACAGTATATTTAAGGGTCAATTGGAGTCACAGGGACACGTTTGAGAGAGCAGCATCACCTACCAGCAGGACACGAGAGACATTTTAACATTCTTTGTCAATTCTTACTAGCTCAAGCAAAATCTCTCTGAGAAAATAAATCAGTACAAATTTAAAATAATTCTCTGAGAGAAGACAAAGACAGCAGGTCAAGAAGGTTTCACAGGTAAGGTTTACTAAAAATATTCAAAAAGTCGACAATAATATCTATCTTATATCAACTCTTGCAATAATTCTCTTATTTAAGCAAATTATTAGTGTATGATTTGAGAATGTCCTGGTTTATTGCCAGATTATTCACTGCATGAACCATAAAATCATTTAATTTTAGAACTAGAAGAAACAGTAACAGTCATTGAGCTCAGCACCTTAGAAACAAAGGTGATACTCAGTATCACAGAACTGGTTAGCTGTAGAACTGCTCCCTGTAGCTCTAATAAGTAGGAAGAGTCATTCTGTGTATGCCAGGTTAAATCAGTTCAAACTGCATTTGGCTGCAAGTACTGTATCATGCATCGAGAGATGCGGCAATAGGCAGTACTAGGTTGGTGTTCAGATCATCAGTACCATTGAGGATCCAGGCCCCTACTAGCTCTCCCATACTTAGCATGTGGCTTCACATCTTGTGATACAAACATAGCAGCTGAACTTTTAGATACCATGTCTGTGTCCTGGCAAAAATAAGGAAGAAGGGAAATGGGCTGAAGTAACAGATGTCCACTCCTTGGCTGGTCTCAGTCACATGGCCACCTCTAGTTACAAGTGAAAATTTTTAACTTTTACAGCTTCATTATAGAGACAGCAAAGCAGAGGAGATTGAAAATGGAGGTTGGGTCAGCCGATATATAATGTCTCCCTTTCTAGCTGCTATGGACTAAATTGTGCCCCTCCCCAAATTCATATGTTAAATTCCTAAACCCCCATGGGACTGTATTGGAGACAGGGCTTTTAAGGAGGTAAGGTTAAATTAGGTAAGGTAAATTTCGGTGGAGCCCTGACCTGATAAAACTAGTGCCCATAAGAGGAAGAGACACCTGAGTTTTCTGTTCTCTCTCTCTCTCTTTCTCTCTCTCTCCCCCCACCCGCTTCCATGTGAGGATACAGCAAGAAGATAGACATCTACAAGCTAGGAAAAGAGGTCATCACCAAAAACCAAAGTCTGTTGGAACCTTGATCTTGGAATTCCTAGTCCTTAAGACTATGAGAAGATAATTTTCTATTCTTTAAGCAATCCAGTCTATGGTATTTACTTGTGGCAGCTAGAGTTAATATACTAGCATACACAGAGACAGGCATTCACTCATTCATTCAGTGAAAATTCAGCAAACACCTACAATGTTGTAATCGCTGAGAATACATGCATGGAATTGAAATGAACATGACCCAGGCCTGTCTAGTTGGCAGGTAGCAGGACACATCCCAACAATAGCAATAGTGCAATAATTGTCCTCACAGGTAATTACAGATTGTTATTGGAATACAAAGGGAAGTAAACAGAAGCTTTACTGAGCAACCCAGCAGCACGGCTTCAAGGAGGGTTTCTAAGAGTGACCTCTGGACATCAGGCTACTCACTTAAGCTTTCTAAACTTCAACTGTGAAAATGGGGGTAAAAATCAAATCAACCACATATATCTGTTGTGTCAATTTAATGAAATAAACCATGTAAATGAGGTAATGAGATATACCACAATGCCTGACATTTTGGAAGCAAGCATTAAAAAAAATTATAACCACATTCAATAAATCAGGGGTCAGCAGACTGCTTCTGCAAAGGACCTGATAGTAAATAGTATAGCCTTTGCAGGTCACACCGTCTCTGTGGCAACTAATCAACACTTCCATTGTAGTGTGAAATCAGCCATAGACAATGCATAAATGAATTAGCATGCTGTGTTCCAACAAAACTTTATTTACAAAAGTGGGTGATCAGCCAGAAATGGAGCATATTATCACAGATATATAACTGCAAATAATTTTAGGCATTATTTTGAGAGATCTCTTTGTACCAGCCTTAGAAATGTACCCTGATTTTAAAGTTAGAAAAAATGTATAGTCATATGAATATTTTGGGCAGACACATGGACAACATGTGTGGCCACTCGATCCTTCAAATGTTTTCTCTTCTAGATTTATGTGTAGTTGCAAAGACTTAGCAGCCAACAACTATGTTAAGTGAGTCTGGCTTTCTTCCAGTGAAATTTTCATGTTTTCACTCATACAATAAAGCTTAGTCTCTGCCTCAAAGGCTCAAGAACTAGAAAAGTGAGGGTGGGACAGGAGATTTTTTTGAAGTGTAATTTTCATTTAAGTTTATTTATACTGAATGCTAGGCACTATGTTAGGCGCTAGGAAAACCGAGAGTTCAGACATAACCTTAAGCCCTCAAGGAGCCTCCTGCCTTTTGTGGGTTTGGAGGGTTGGAGTGATTGTTCTCTAGTAAGACAGCAAATGTGTTGTCTGGTTTCTTGAGAAATTATTGAAACTTTCTCAGGAGTACCTGGATTAAAGTAGTAACAATTTCACTACTCTCTTCAACGGCAAAGGTTGAAGGAGGCTTTTAGTGGTGGGCTATAATTTCATCATAATTCAAATGTTGCCTGTTCAATTTTCTATCTCATAACTCCACAGTCCTTTTCCTTCAATTAGCAAAATATATCATCGGAGAGCCAAAGCTGACAACTAGAAATCTCCAACTTGTACAATCCATCTCTTTTTTTTCCCGGAGGAAACCTTGACATTCTCTTCTCACAAGTTTTAAGCTTCTTTCCCTCAACACCTTTCCACAGTGGTTTTTTTTTTTTTTCTTTTAAGACTAAAGAATTGTGGACAGAGTAAAATTGTGGGGAGAGAGCTTGAGGTAGAATATTATCATCTTGGGAGACAAGTAGCTAGGGATTCGCCTTGCTTTCTTTTATATAGAAATAAAACACCAGCACTAAGCTCATGTTCACAAGCAGCCCAGATGCTCAGGCTCTTTTTTCTTTTGATGTATATTTGTGTATGAAAGCTTCATTTTCTTTGTTCCAGTGATTGAGGGAGTTTGGTTCTTTCAGTATAAAGAATCTACTTTCATTTCCTTTATTGAAATAGATATTTATCCCATAGAGAATTGTCCATATTTGTCTGTGGGTCCTCTTTTCTTTATTCACGTAGCTCCTGCTTATATCTTTCTCTTTTCTTCTTCTTTTCTTTACCAGACGTCCACATGGCATGCTTCCAATTGTGTTTATCCACTCTAGCTAATTGACAGTCACATAAGTGCAAGTAATGTGAGGTATTATTGTGAGAGATTTCTGTTTGACTCTTTAATTAAGCAGTTGTTCACAGGTGCATACAGTTACAACAAAATTAATTGATAGCTTTATATCACACATCTTGAGCCCACTGTTATTTGATGTTTTCAAACACAACTATTAGATTTGTCTTATCTTGTATATAGGCAGTATTTCTCATTTCGTTCCAACAGAGGTTAGGACAGGTTACCCTAAATACAAGAAAAATCTATCAAAGCAGCAAAGATAATTTCACTAAGAAGGAAACAAAGTGAAATGTTTATTTATGGAGCATTTTATCACCACCAAGAAGTACAGTGAGATGCTCTTTACGTTTCTCTATGCACTGCAAGTTTCCTGAGTGTCAAAAATCATTGCTACCCAAACCAAATAGCTTCCTGTGAGGGCCACGTGTTTATCTTTCAATGATACCGAGGAGCAATACACACTTACAGCAGGCAAGTGGCATTTCCTGGGATTAAGTTTTATTAATAGTCATTATTCACTTTTCTCTTTATTTTTGTCTGAGTACCAACAAAGCACCACACCTTTCCCAATTCATAGAGGGCTTCCTCACAGGGAGAAAGAGGAACAGATGTACTGTGATTAGGTCTTCTGCTTGCTAGAAAGAGCAGGAGGATAGAGATGGAAGGCATCTCAATTTCACAGTCTCCTACCTGGGCAGCCTGCTACCTGGGCAGCCTGCTAGAGGGATTACAATGTGACATTTGAGCGAGACTGCCTGAATTTGAGCCCTGCCTTATTATTTATTACCTGAGTGTGCTGGGCAAGTTACTTAACTTCTCTGTTCCCTGATTTTACTCACACGTGAATGGAGATATCTAAGTAAGCACGTCATAGAAATGTTGTCACAATTAAATGAGTGAATGCAGCAAAGTCTTGGAATGACAAATGCAGAATAAATGAAAGGTATTCTTTGTAGTAGACCATGTGATGTAAGCAGTTTATTTAAACTTTTTCAGTTTTATTTTTTTCACTGTAACTTTTGGATATGAAAACTAATTGATTTGTTAATTGTACAAAACATTCCAGACATATTAATAATTTGTTATTACTCTAAATACTCCCGAACTTTCAGACTTAGCCATATAATCTGTTTACAAGAATATACCACCAACCAAATAATAGTGTTCATTTCTAGTCATGTCTATTATTTTATTATTTCAAAACCCCCATCTGATTCCCTGCCTGTGGTTACCTCAGAACTCTAATACGGCAGGGGGCAAAAACAGGTGAAACAAAGGACTCACTGTGAATGTGGAGTGGGTGGCTCTCTATCCTGAAAGGTTTAGTAGCCCCAAAGGCCCTGTTTACCACCAAATTACTTGTCCTACTGTCACTAATAGAAATTTGAACACTTTTATGACAAAATCCAGAGAAGATCAAATTTTAAAATATATTTAACCCTTAGGAGACATTAGCACATGAACTAGTGCCACATTCGGATAGATTGTATTATCAGATTAGCAGATCACTTAGACAAGAGCAGAGGGTTGAGTGAATATGATGTTGAAAATGAAGAACTAGATTAGAGACAGAGGGGATTTGTTTATTAGGCCCATAAAATGGTGAAGTGTTTAACTCTGACCACTGTGGCTAGGTGAGTGTCCAGTAGCAGTTTTGATTGGGAGAGGAGCAACCTGGTGTGTGTATGTCCAGAAGTGAATATAGACAAAGATCAGCATAAAATTGTATTTGAGATGGGAGCACAAAAGATCATACTAGGACAATAAATCTGTCATCAGCTCTAAGGAATAAATTTAGGGTCTGGAGTAAAAGATGAAATCTAAAAGGTCAGGAGCTAGACAAACTCAGGAGTGGAGTTAGAGGTAAGGAATGGGGCAAGAACAGGGCAAGAAGACATAGAACTTGGGCTGAAAGCAAGCTGGGATGACGCACAGAGCTTCCTCTTACTGGTCCTGTCTATAGGAGGGGTCTAGCTGAGTAAAAGGCACTGGATAGATGCACATGCAAGGGATATCAATATTTTGCTTTTGTAAATTTTTCAATCAGCACAATTTGAATTTTTCTTCTTGGTTTGGATTCTAGATGTGTAAATTTCTGGGAGAGAATGAGAAGCTTAAGAGAATTGATGAAGGTAACAGATATGTCCATATACCTGCAAGCACAGATTAAGTAGGAAATGGAATGTTGGATATGCCAATTTCAATGTCTTTGTAGCCAGTCAAGACCCGAGGTGATGGCTATAGGAACCAGGTCCTGATACGATTTGCACTGAGATCAGTTTGTTCTATACAGACCTTCTATCTTTATCATCTAAAGTCTGCATAACTGTGGGATGCCTCCACCACACACAAGCACTAACCTTTCTTATTCCCTTTCTCACTCTGATATGCTCTTCCTCACCCGTACCTACACCAATCTTTTCACTGTTTCCTATGGAAATCCGCTATGTTCTAAATATCTTTTCTCAAAATACTTTTGCCCTCTTACATTAAATTTGCCCATGCCATTAACTGTGAGTGTTACAACTCTCTCATTTTTCTTATATGAGCTTCCAGGCACCCAATGATGATCTTCAAACACTGATACAGTTAACCAAGTGTGCTCCTTTCTACTCTACCTGCTGTTATCATCTTAAGCAGCTTCTAGATTCCTGAATAATAAAACTAATGCAGTAGCTTGTGTCACTTGACCCTCTAAAGAACTTCAGCTCCACTCTTTGCTACTAACCAAATTCTATTATCACCTTTCACAATCTAACCACAGAAGAAATGGCTCTATTTCTGAAATCCTGAACGTTTCTGTTTATTTAATATATAGCCATGAAAATATTTTATTTGAAATTTATATTACGTATATATTATCACATTACTACAACACATGACATGGAATAGGATAAAAAAAGAGATGAGGAAATTGAATAAAAAAGTAAATGAGGCCAGGCCTGTAATCCAACCACTTTGGGAGGCCGAGGTGGGCGGATCACCTGAGGTCAGGAGTTTGAGACCAGCCTGACCAACATGGAGAAACCCCATCTCTACTAAAAATGCAAAATTAGCTGGGTGTGGTGGCGCATGCCTGTAATTCCAACTACTCGGGAGGCTGAGGCAGGAGAATCACTTGAACCTAGGAGGCAGAGGTTGCAGTGAGCCGAGATCGCGCCATTGCACTCCAGCCTGGGCCACAAGAGTAAAACTCCATCTCAAATAAATAAATAAATAAATAAATAAATAAATAAATAAATAAAGCCAGAAGTAAGGTTAGTACACAAGCATGTATACCAAAAATTCTAGTTAATAGTTGTAAGCTGTTTTCCAAAAAAAGAAATTGGATCACAGTTCCTTAAGGGAGAGAAAATTTTTGTAAGGGAAACAGTGTTATGAGATCTCCTTTATGCTTGATAAAAGTGAAAATGCCCTCAATTATCCCTAGGGATAGCCCTGCTAATGATTGCTGTTTCTTATTATGCTTTTTATTATGTCCCCTAATGATGTCAATGCCATTCTCCTGAAAAAAATGTGGTAAAAGCAATCTTTATTATCACAAAACAATATGTTATAAATATGTAGCTGGCCTGACCCCAGAATGAAATTAAGAATACCTACAATAATCTGTGGATAATATCTCTTTCATAAATATTGTTTCTTGAAATGAATCCTTGGGAAGATTTGGACACCAGAGAGTTCAAGGTTAAAATTGTTTGACAAAAAGAGTAAAATTCGATGTTGCAATTTTAAAGTGGAGTTATGTGCCTGACACTTGATGAACACAGAATAGGCATAAAATACATTTTTGAAAACTGGCCATGTCACCTTTGCTTGGAAGTGGGCCAAAGGAATGACTGAGAGAAGGGTTGAGATTTTTCTCAAAAATAACTCTGCCTCTGCTTCAAAAATTAGACATATAGCCCAGATTAATTTCAAGGTGGTGGTTACCAATATCCATTCTACTCCACACCATAGACATAAAATATCTCACAAAAATATCTATAAAACATATCTCATTTTAAGCAATGTAACTCCTGGTGACTCTTCAAGATAGATTAATTGGCCAAATATATTCATAGATGACTGAATGATTTGACCTGTTACGTGGAAGTATTGGATAGAAGCCAATTACAGCTAGAGGACATCTGCCAAAACTTATGATTTGAGTTTTGAATAGTGGATCTTATGCCACTATTTCTGACAATAATTAAAAGACAGGATCAATTATGTGTTGAGGTCATTTCTAGTACATGACAATCAAGCCATTTCATCAACAAAGAAAAAAATACTTTTCTATTTTCAACATTAGGGTGGTATGTAGGTATCTCATCCGAAAACAACTTCAAATGATTAAAATATAAGGAACAGATGTTGGCAAAAATGTGGAGAAAAGGGAACAATTATACAATGTTAGTGGGAATGTAAATTAAAATAACCTCTATGGAAAACAGTATGGAGATTCCTTAAAGAACTAAAATTAGAACTACCAATCCCTCCAGCAATCCCACTACAGGGTATCTACCACAAAATGCAGGTCTCAAAAAGACATCTGCATTTGTATGTTTATCACAGCATTATTCACAACAGCAAAGTCATGGAATCAATGTAAGTGTCCATCATATATATATATAAAATTTTATATATATAAAAATATATATAATGGAATACTACTCAGCTATAAGAAAGAATAAAATGAACTTTTGCAGCAACATGATGGGACTGCATGCCATTATCCTAAGTAAAATGACTCAGAAAGTCAAAAACCGCATGTTCTCACTTATAAGTGGGAGCTAAACAACAGGTACACACAGACATAAAGAGTGAAATAATAGATATCGGAGACTCCCGGAGGTAGGAGAGTGAGAGGCGGTTAAGGGATGAAATACTACCTATTGGGTACCGTATACGCTATTCAAATTATGGGTGCACGAAAAGGCCAGACTTCACCACTATGCAATATATCCATGTAATATAGTTGCACTTGTACCCTTAAATCTATTTTTTTAAAAAACGAATGGGATCTAAAAGACATTGGTGTGTTTATTTCATATGAAATCATTTTTCTTTTTTTTTCTTTTCTTTTCTTTTTTTTTTTTTTTTTGAGACAGTCTTGCTCTGTCACCCAGGCTGAAGTGCAGTGGCACAATCTCAGCTCACTGCAACCTCGGCCTCCCACATTCAAGCAATTCTCATGCCTCAGCCACCCAAATAGCTGGAATTACAGGCATGTGCCACCATGCCCAGCTAATTTTTGTATTTTTAGTAGAGACGGTGTTTCACCATGTTGGCCAGGTTGGTCTTGAACTCCTGACCACAAGTGATCCACCCACCTTGGCCTCCCAAATTGCTGGTATTACAAGCTGAAATCATTTTTCTTATCCTTCAAGAGACTATAACTATAAACATTGTCACTTGAATGGTATTAGAATGGAAATTCTGTATGAACAACAATAAACAGTTCCTATATTATGAGCTTCTGCAGCTTAGTTAGTTCAGTGACTTAAAGACTAAGGAAAGGTCCATAAAAGCTGCAAACATTCCTAGGTCATCCCAGATCTCTACAGCCAAGGCTACAAAAACTCTCCATGTTATTACCACTGTATGCTACCACTGTGTGCACTTACAGCATACAGTGCCTCTGACACATATTAGGTGCTCAGTCTTTCTGTGCTGCATAAAAAAGGGCTCTGTGATAAATTGTGGATTACAGAACCTGAAGTTCATTTATTCTTGTGCAGAATATTATCTTGAAAACAAAATGGTTACTTATCAGAGAGAATACTAGAACAAAATTTAAATAAATGTAATGCAAGCCTTTTTCAGTTTCAGAAAAATAGTATATGATAGTCCTTTAAAATATAGGCAAGAATATACATACATTAGGCTCATCTACATAAGATATTACCCACAGAGTACAAATAAGTAGATAAAGCGTTAAGGATGAGAACTCATCAGTGAGTATGTGTCTTAAAAAATTCTAAAGACAGGACTTTACCAAGAAACTTTTTAAACTTGGATTTTTACATTTGATGTCCTATATAAACAATGTGCTCAATTAAAAAACAACCTGAGTCTAAAAGATAAACACATGTATTATTATGCCAAGAATACTAGAGATTTTATTTCTGAGAATTCAATGATATTTAACTTCCTCAGCCACATTCTCCAGAGTTATGAGCAATGAAACCCCAGAATCTGTGTCATTCCTCAGCTAAATGGCCAAATCTAATTCTTCTAATTCTTCTAACAAGGATTTATTGTACTCAAGTTTGGGGGATAAAATCAGAAGTTTCTATGTACAACTTAAATTTTGCTAAGATTTTTATTGTTTCTTTTTTATATAAATTATGGATTTGTTTTTACTTCCCTAACCAACCTTCTAACTGAGGAACTACGTTATACTGGAATCATGTGAAGACATTCTAAAGGGTACCCAGGTGCACATAGTTTTAAGGGAATCAATTTCCAAATCATCAACTTCTGTATATAATTTTTTCTCCAATTGATTTGCCTGAAAATAAGCCCATAAAGAAGGGCAAGTTTCTCTTTTCCATCTCCCCTTTCATTATGCCCTTTAGCTAGCTTCACAAAAGCAGGCATACTCTCACTGGTCTTGTTTCTTACTAAGGTGCATTGCCCCCAGGTGCAAAACCCTCCAGGGAGGCAAGCAAATGGACAATTGGGAACACTGAATCTGCATGTGCTTCCAGAAAGAAAATAGCCTTTTAAAAAATTAATATACATTATTTTACATATTTATGGGGTACATGTGAGTATTTGTTACACGCATAGAAATGACTTTAATGAATGTTAAGGTGAAGTCTTTCAAAGACAGGTAAATTCCTATTCTTGGGTTTGAAAAAAATTGAAGGAAAATTCTGTGAAATAGTTGAAAAATCCTTCAAAACATTTATTGATGGCGGCCACTGTGTGATTATTTTTTCATATTTCAAAAAAACTGAGTAACATTGTCAAGGCCAGCTTCCAAGATGTAAAATCTATACAGTTGCACAGTGCCCTGTGTTCAGAAGGAACCCATGCTTGGTTTAATGCTCTGCTTTAATGTCTTGTGAGTTTTAATACTTTTCTCTTCAAACTTGTGTTTTGTAAGAGAAGTCAGATGGGACAGTGGAGCATGTGAATGAGCAGAGGACAGACTTGTTTGATATGGAAGTCCCATTCCTTGTTGACCCATTTTTAGATATTTCATACATTGTCATGCAGTACTCCATCAGTGCCAAATTCTCATGGAGCAAGACTCAGTTATGTCCAGGGTGTGTTACATGTACAATTCAATAAATGGGAGTACTGACATCACCAGGAGACCTAATATTCCATTTAAATCTGAACATGCTTCAAAAGTAGAAAGAAGGGCAAATGACTTTCTAACAAACACAAATGACTAAAAACTCTGTATTCTTTCTTATTCATGTTTCTTTTATGTATTGGTCAACTACGTATGCTGAAAATGATGACTCTGAAAGAAAGAGAAACATACAGCAATCCACAGTTACCTTTCCTTTCAATCCTTCCTTACTCATCAGTAAGCTAAAGGTAGAAAATATGCACATATCAAAACAAAACAGTGAAACAAAAAATAGTTCAGTTAGTTCTATGGAACTTCTTCACTATATTGGTAAGAATAAAATACGTATGTCTTAATGAGCTACAAAACACAAAATATATAATTGTGGTGACCCAGAATACAAGTCAAATGTTTCCATATTTGTATTTAAAATTATCATTGCAATGCCCACAGGAGAAAGCAGGAAAGATCTAAAATTGACACCCTAACATCACAATTAAAACAACTGGAGAAGCAAGAGAAACACATTCAAAACCTAGCAGAAGGCAAGAAATAACTAAGATCAGAGCAGAACTGAAGAAGATAGAGACACAAAAAACCCTTCAAAAAATCAATGAATCCAGGAGCTGATTTTTCGAAAAGATCAACAAAATTGATAGATCGCTAGCAAGACTAATAAAGAAGAAAAGAGAGAAGAATCAAGTAGACACAATAAAAAATTATAAAGGGGATATCACCACCGATCCCACAGAAATACAAACTACCATCCAAGAATACTATAACACCTCTATACAAATAAACTAGAAAATCTAGAAGAAATGGATAAATTCCTGGACACATACACCCTCCCAAGACTAAACCAGGAAGAAGTTGAATCCCCAAATAGACCAATAACAGACTCTGAAATTGAGGCAATAATTAATAGCCTACCAACCAAAAAAAGTCCAGGACCAGACGGATTCACAGCCGAATTCTACCATAGGTATGAAGAGGAGCTGGTAACATTCCTTCTGAAACTATTCCAATCAACAGAAAAAGAGGAAATCCTCCCTAACTCATTTTATGAGGCCAGCATCATCCTGATACCAAAGCCTGGCAGAGACACAACAAAAAAAGAGAATTTTAGACCAATATCCCTGATGAACATTGATGCAGAAATCCTCAATAAAATACTGGCAAACCGAATCCAGCAGCACATCAAAAAGCTTATCCACCATGATCAAGTGGGCTTCATCACTGGGATGCAAGGCTGGTTCAACATATGAAAATCAATAAAAGTAATCTAGCATATAAACAGAACCAAAGACAAAAAACACATGATTATCTCAATAGATGCAGAAAAGGCCTTTGACAAAATTCAACAGCTCTTCATGCTAAAAACTCTCAATAAATTAGGTATTGATGGGACGTATCTCAAAATAATAAGAGCTATTTATGACAAACCCACAGCCAATATCATACTGAATGGGCAAAAACTGGAAGCATTCCCTTTGAAAACTGGCACAAGACAGGGATGCCCTCTCTCACCACTCCTATTCAACATAGTGTTGGAAGTTCTGGCCAGGGCAATCAGGCAGGAGAAAGAAATAAAAGGTATTCAATTAGGAAAAGAGGAAGTCAAATTGTCCCTGTTTGCAGATGACATGATTGTATATTTAGAAAAGCCCATCGTCTCAGCCCCAAATCTCCTTAAGCTGATAAGCAACTTCAGCAAAGTCTCAGGATACAAAATCAATGTGCAAAAATCATAAGCATTCTTATACACCAATAACAGACTAACAGAGAGCCAAATCATGAGTGAACTTCCATTCACAGTTGCTTCAAAGGGAATCCAACTTACAAGGGATGTGAAGGACCTCTTCAAGGAGAACTACAAACCACTGCTCAATGAAATAAAAGAGGACACAAACAAAGGGAAGCACATTCCATGCTCATGGATAGGAAGAATCAATATCGTGAAAATGGGCATACTGCCCAAGGTAATTTATAGATTCAATGCTATCTCCATCAAGCTACCAATGACTTTCTTCACAGAATTGAAAAAAACTACTTTAAAGTTCATATGGAACCAAAAAAGAGCCCACATTGCCAAGTCAATCCTAAGCCAAAAGAACAAAGCTGGAGGCATCACGCTACCTGACTTCAAACAATACTACAAGGCTACAGCAACCAAAACAGTATGGTACTGGTACCAAAACAGAGATATAGACCAATGGAACAGAACAGAGCCCTCAGAAATAATAACACACATCCACAACCATCTGATCTTTGACAAACCTGACAAAAACAAGAAATAGGGAAAGGATTCCCTATTTAATAAATGGTGCTGGGAAAACTGGCTAGCCACATGTAGAAAGCTGAAACTGGATCCCTTCCTTATACCTTATACAAAAATTATTTCAAGATGGATTAAAGACTTAAATGTTAGACCTAAAACCATAAAAACCCTAGAAGAAAACCTAGGCAATACCATTCAGGACATAGGCATGGGCAAAGACTTCATGTCTAAAACACCAAAAGCAATGGCAACACAAGCCAAAATTGACAAATGGGATCTAATTAAACTAAAGAGCTTCTGCACAGCAAAAGAAAACTACAATCAGAGTGAACAGGTAACCTACAGAATGGGAGAAAATTTTTGCAATCTACTCATCTGACAAAGGGCTAATATCCAGAATCTACAAAGAATTCAAACAAATTTACAACAAAAAAACAAACAACACATTCAAAAAGCGGGCAAAGGATATGAACAGACACTTCTCAAAAGAAGGCATTTATGCAGCCAACAGACACTGCAAAAAATGCTCATCATCACTGGCCATCAGAGAAATGCAAATCAAAACCACAATGAGATACCATCACACACCAGTTAGAATGGCGATCATTAAAAAGTCAGGAAACAACAGATGCTGGAGAGGATGTGGAGAAATAGGAACACTTTTACACTGTTGGTGGGACTGTAAACTGGTTCAACCATTGTGGAAGATAGTGTGGCGATTCCTCAAGGATCTAGAACTGGAAATACCATTTGAGTGAGCCATCCCATTACACGGTATATACCCAAAGGATTATAAATCATGCTGCTATAAAGACACATGCACACATATGCTTATTGTGGCACTATTCAATAGCAAAGACTTGGAACCAACCCAAATGTCCAGCAATGATAGATTGGATTAAGAAAATGTGGCACATATACATCATGGAATACTATGCAGCCATAAAAAAGGATGAATTCATGTCCTTTGTAGGGACATGGATGAAGCTGGAAATCATCATTCTCAGCAAACTATCGCAAGGACAAAAAACCAAACACCGCATGTTCTCACTTATAGGTGGGAATTGAACAATGAGAACACTTGGACACAGGAAGGGGAACATCACACACCGGGGCCTATCATGGGGTGGGGGAGGTGGGGGCGGAGAGCATTAGGAGATATACCTAATGTAAATGACAAGTTAATGGGTGCAGCACAACAACATGGCACATGTATACATATGTAACAAACCTGCACATTGTGCACATGTACCCTAGAACTTAAAGTATAATAAAAAAAGAAAAAAAAAAACTGTCATTGCACAAAACAAAGATGAATGGTAAAATTTATGCTAACAATTTGGAATTTTAATTTTTCATTATGTAGAATGACATTAAGTAGCAAATAAAATCCATCACCATAAGTCAAGAGGGAGACTGGAATAAACAAAGCAGCGTAACATTTTAACATCCTTAACATCATTTTTTCCCACCTTCTGACCCAGGTACCCCCACTATCACTTTGTGCTAGGCTCAAAAAATTATTTAGCTGGTCCTGATCATTAGTATAACAAAATATCCATTTCCACATGCTTAGGTATGATGCTTTGAGAAATCAGACTCATTATTCTATTGCCATAACTTAAGGAACCTTTTAAGACTTTCAGTTAATAAAATTGTCTTTATTTTAACCTCACAAAGTAGGTATTTCTTTTTTGGATTAAAGTATGGTACCATATAGTATAGATGTACCTGTGTCTGTATAGATACAGACAGAGAGGCATGGATGGATATTTGAAGGCTAAATTGGTTCTCCCTCCTCTATATAGATGCTCCCTTATAAAACTAACAAACAGAGTTTCCAGTGCTGATTACTTCAATATTAATGTCATACCATGACTTGTAGCTGAATTCAAGATACATGTATATATATATGATATAACATACAAAATATAATATACGTATGTGTGTGTATATATAGAGACAAACAGAGAGCTGTAGATAGATATTTGAAGGCTAGATTCTTTCTCCCCTCTATTGCAGATGCTCCATCATAAAACTAAGAAGAAGGACGTTTAGTAATCATGAGGTTATTTCACTAGGAATGTCATGTCATGAATTCCTTCCCATGACTTCCTCCCTCTCTCTCCGGTTCTGTCACCGGCCTCCTGGCATTGTCTTGCTTCCCATTTGCCACACATGTTCATCCCATCAGCCTGGTATCGTTCTGGGTGGCATCTCAATTATGAATCCCTGAAGAGAACCATGTGGAGATCCACAGGTATGGGGACTCTGCTTTTCCAACAAGGTTTCTGTGCATTTGGGCTCCCCTTCCCCCTTTTTAAACTGACTTTTACCATATCTGCCATCAAGTGGTAGGATCTGAAACAACAACATGACATGAGAAGTCACCTTGGACATGTGTATGACACACACATGTAGAGTCCGTGTTAGGTGTTGTCAATTATTGATAGATAATAAACGGAATACAATCTAAAATGCTGAAAGAATGATGACAAAATACCAAATTTTGGCTTTTAGAATAAAAAAAACACTATTGCACTATGTGTCAACACTTCTTTTCTAAAAAGGGTGTTTTACATAAAGATTTCTGTTATTTCACTTGCATTTCATGGGTCTAGTATATCTTAGCTGGTGATCAGTCTCAATCAGGATTTTAATTTTCCAAAAGCTGTAATTGCAATAGAAAACGTGAACAGGGACTTACCTTTGTGAATAGAAGTGCAAGCATAAGTATAATTCAAATTTTCTGATAACTCTTTTCCTTTAGATACTAGTCTATTTGTATCCTTAGATAACCTATAAATGATAAACATATGTTTAAAAAAGAATCCAAAGAAGAGTTAGTACAGAATCATGCTGTACTTTAAGCTAAAAAAGAAATATCTGTCTATTTTGTCAGGTTAAAATAGGGACAATTTTATTAACTGAATTTTGAAAGATTACCTTAGGTTATGTCAATTGTATAACAAGACCGATTTCTCAAAGCTTCCTACCTATGCACCTGGTTGTGAAGATAATACATTATCTAATCTGTCTCTCCATAAACACATAAGTTCCTATTTTGCTGGTAGAAGCTCAAACTAATGACATTTCAAGAAGTTTAATAGGGAGTACAGTCATTTAGTATGTAGTATGATACTATAGCAGATCACTTAACCTTACTTCTAAATACAATTTCTTTTTATGATTAAAATTTTTATTGTATATATTTAAGGTATACAATTTGATGCTTTGATATATGTATACATTGTGAAATGATCACCACAATCAAGCTAATAAACATGTCCATCACCTTACAGGATACGTGTGTGTGTGTGTGCGTGTGTGTGCGTGTGTGTGTGTGGTGAGAAGACTTAGAGTCTACCCTTTTTGCAAATTTCAGGTATAAAACACAGTATTGTTACATATAGTTACCATGCCATACATTAGATCTGCAGAACTTATTCATCTCGCATAACTGAAATTTGGTACCCTTTCACCAACAGCTCCCCATGCCCCACACCCTTGTAACCACGATTCTACTCTCTGCCTCTATGAGCTGACATCTAACTGTAATTTGGAGCTTCAGTTTTATCTGTGAAATGGGAATGATGCTTGTCTGATTCCTACAGCCCTACTCAATATTAGATGAACTTCCATTCTGCATCAGGCTGCATGCTGGCAGTGCATTGACGAACATGACAGCTGTGGTCCCTTCTCTTATCCAAACACCCTAACTGTAGGGGTCTGGACAAACTGTTGCCTGCTATGCTGTGGTGAGGAAGAAATGAGATAATGGATGTGAACACAATTTACAACCTATAGAGCATTACACACATGAGAATGCTCAGTATTTGGGAATTAATTATGAAAAAAAAAATCCTAGCTGAGTGTAAGGAAGAGAGGAAGGGGGACAGTTATTACCAATGGGGAAAATGGCTTCCTGAATCAAATTGACTGAACTGTTTCCTGTCAACCTGTTTGTGAGGATTATGTCATCAATGTTCATACCCTAGATTGCTGTGGCTATAACTTTCTTCCTAAAATAAGATCTTCTAGAATGGGACAATGACCAAAACATGAAGAAAAAGAAACAATGCAAAAATAATCTGTTTTATTATCATGACTGAATCCAAAAGAGGCAGAGGAAACACAGCTGTACTTTCTAGGCCTTTATTTCTTTAGTTTTTCTTGGTTCTTCATTAGCTGCTTCTCAGGTCTCAGAGCCAAGTAGTTTTGAATTCAACTGCTCAGCTTTCATCTCCTGGAGAACGCTCTAAATGTGTTCTCTTGGCCTTTTTTTCCCTTTTTCATTTGATGTAATATATTTTCTGTTTTGGTCATAATGGTGAATTGTCTTCTCTAATAAACAATGTTATATCTGATCAACGTCTTTTAAAAGTTTAATATTTAAGATATCTTCAAGGAAGAATTCCTTCTAGAAGTTCAGATTCCTGCTACTTATTTATTGGCAAATGGCCTTTAGTCTGAGGCTGATATAGTTTGGCTGTGTCCTCACCAAAATCATTGTAGCTTCCATAATTCCCACATGTCATGGGAGGTACCTGGTGGGAGGTAACTGAATCATGGGGGCGGGTCTTTCCCTTGCTGTTCTGGTGATAGTGAATAAAACTCACGAGATCTGAGGGTTTTATAAAGGGGAGTTCCCCTACACAAGCTCTCTTGCCTGCTGCCATGTAAGACGTGATTTTGCTTCTCATTCGCCTTCTGCCATGATTGTGAGGCCTCCCCAGCCATGTGGAATTGTAAGTCAACTAAACCTCTTTTTAAAATATATTACCCAGTCTTGAGTATGTCCTTATTAGAAGCATGAGAACAGACTAACACAGAGGTTCAGTTTCCTCTTCTGTGTAATAGGAGCACTAATACCTTTTTCAAAAGGCCGTTGTGAGAAATAATGATAAAATATATTTTGGGAATAGTAAAGAGCCATGTAAATCCAAGTTACTGTCACTCCCCAGATGCACTCTCCTCTGCCTGTGAACACCTCCAACTAGTCGGTCATCCTTTGTTCACTTGACCAACAGCTGTAGACCTTTCCAAACCCTGAGGTCAAGTGCTTTGAAAGCCATCCTTAATTAGGGCTAGAATTTGTGCCCATTGTTTCCTATTTTGCTGAGAAAATTGAAGCAATAAGAGGAAAATTTCTTTAGGTTTTACCACATTGACCATACACCAGCATCTGCACCCAGGTTCTCTGCTTCCTGCTCGATACCACAAACAGAACTATCTGTGTTTCCCTGTACAGCCCCATCACTTCTGCCTACGACCCACCTCTTCTCACACTGTCTAGAACAACGCTGTCTATCCTCTGTCTCTCTTCTTTATCATCAGTGTTTCATTCTCTACTTGGGTTATTCTGATTGTAAATAAATATCCTGATGTAATTTCTCTTATTCTAAAATTATACCCTTTACTTAATCATCCCTACCCCCAGACAGCCCATTTTTCTGCTTCCCTTTTAGGCAAAATTATTTGGAAAATGTTGTCTGTTTTTATTTTATCTGAGCTCTCTCCTCCCATTCTCTCTTAAACTTACTCCAAGTGAAACTGATCTGGTGAAAGTCCTTGTTGCTAAATCCAGTGGCCATTCCTCAACCCCTCATCTCATTCAACTGTTAGAAGCCTTTGGAACAATTGATCCCTCTTCCTTGATTTACTTTCTTCTATTGGCTTTCTATACACTTAGCTGGCTTTCCTTCCACTCTTCTGATCTCTTGCCTTCTCACCCTTTTTTGCTGGTTCATTTCCTTCCTCAGACTTCTTAACTGTGGATGACAGATATTTGGACTCATCTCCTTTTCATCTACACACACTCTTGCTGTCTCCGGTCTCCTGGCTTTAAATACCACCTATATGTCACAGACTTCCACTTTTCTGTTTTCATTCTACCCAAGATTCTTTCCAACTCTTTCCAAACTGATAAGTCCAACCGCCTCCTTCACATTTCCACTACTTCATGCAATAAAGACTTCTCTCACACCACACATCCAATTCTGAACTCTTGATTGCCTCCTGCCCCAAATCTATTCCTTCAGCAACCTAATCAGTCTTAAGGGACGGCAACTCAATTCTTCTAATTGTTCATGGCAAAAACCTTTGAGTTATCTTTACCTTAATTTTCTCACTCATGCCTTACCTCCAATAAATCAGGAAATCCTTTTCAGTCTAGCTTCAAAATATTTCTAGAATGTAATCACTTTTCAGCACCTCCACTATTGCCATCATGATTTGAGTTGACATCATTTTTCACCTGATTTGCTGTAATAGTTTCATTTCTTTTATTCTTTGTTATAGACTGAAGTGTGTCCCCACCAAATTCATGTGTTGAAGCCCTAACTCCCCAATGTGACTGTCTTTGAGATAGGACCTTTAAGGAGGTGATTGAAGTTAAAAAAGGTCATAAGGAAAGGGCCATAATCCAGCAGGACTGGTTTCCCTAAACAAAGAGGAAGAGACATCAAAAGTGAGCGCACATGACAAAGGCCATGAGAAGACACAGAAAGAATACGCCTGCCTGTAGGCCAAGGTGAGAGGCCTCACCAGACACTGACTCTGTTGGCCTCTTGTTCTTGGACTTCTAGCCTCAAGAACTTTGAAAAAATAAATTTCTGTTCTTTAAGCCACCCAGTCTGTGGTATTCTGTTTTGATAGCTCTAGCAGACTAGCACACATTTGATCTCCTCCAGTGAATTGCCAGTAAGAAGTCAGGGTGATCCTATAAATGTAAGTCAGATCATGTCAATCTTGTGCTCACAACCCTGCCTTGGCTCCCCATTTCTTATGAAGTCCAGATTCCTTACAATGGCCCATCAAGCCCTATATGATCTGGCATCCCAGCTCCTTTCATAGTTCTTCTCTGACTTTGCTTACTCTGTTCTAGCCACATTAGCTTCCTTACAGTTCCTCAGACATGCCAAGCAGAATCCCAACTGGAACATTATACTTACTGTTCCCTCTCGCTGGTTCACTTCTCTCCCAGGTAAGGCTAACTTGTCACCTGCTTCAATCATTCCTCCAGTATCCCTTTCTCAATGAAGCCTACCCCACCAGCCGCTTTCACAGCCATCCTCCCCCATCCACTTTACCTTCAGCTACTTTCTTTTCCTTTTTATCATTGCACTTTTCCCCTTACAACATGCGATATAACCAATGTATTTCTTATGCTTGTTGTTTATGGACTATTCCATTCTGTTAGAATATAAAAATGATGTGGGGCAGAATCTGTTTTGTTCACTGCTGTATACTAAGGATGGATCTGTTACAACAACACATCTGGTATATTATATGGACTTTAACATCTGTTGTCAACCACACAATTGTTAATTCCTTTAAGGACTGAGTTTTTCACCTCTATCTCCATGAATAAATGATGGACTAAAACAAGAAAGAAGGGGAGATGGATGTTGATTGCTAATTACATTTCTACTCTTCATTTTATTCACTATTTAGTTGCTTCTAAAATAGTTTGAGGATTATATTAACACAGTCTTGAAAAAATAAAATTCACACATAGTCAAATAACACAGTAGGACGTGTTTGTTAAGACAAAAGAAACACAACATTGAAAATACTTGGGTATTTTTCATGCTTATAAGACACTACATTTATGTTTAAATTTTTTTCATCAATATTAATAGTATAATTCACTATGTATAGATGAAATTTTACACAAGATAATCATTAATTTTTACAGATATCATCTCACAATGACTTTAGAAAATTTTGTTTCCAGTGTTATTGAAAAGAATTTTCTAAAGAAAAAGTATTATGCTGTATGTCAAGTTAGCTTTCGATTAAGGTTAATATTACTGAAATAACTACATCTGCTTTGCTCTCACTGTGATGTTTATCACCTAATAAAAATGCTAAAGTTACCAAGGAAAGATGTTTAATTTGTTCTCACTGCTCAGTTGTATGTTGCATCCTATTTTGTAGTAAATGGCATAATGTCCCAAGTGGGCTGCCATACTGTCAGATACATTATTTATACATAACATTACTGGTTAATCAATGAACAACAAATGCAGTAGCCTTTTCCTTTCCTCTTTATTTTTAAAATGATAGCAAGATGAAATATGATGTAGAAAAGTATTATCATTTTTCTGATATTAAATAATTTTTGACGATAAAAAAGTGAAGTGTGCAAGTATGAACATAATAATTAAACTGCATGCCCTAATGCATTCCAATGAAGAAGAACAATTAACTAGTCAAATCTAAATACGATTGCTTTCTCTTTTCCAGTAAAACATGGAGAATGCTCCTTTTATGATAGGTTGCAAACTACTAAATAAATAAGATTTTTTCCCAAAGGGATGTATAAAACTCATCTTCGGAAAAATCAACTAAAAGGCATTAATAGTCCATTTAGAATCATAATTCCTGTATCAAACTGTGTGACATGACAGCAAACAAAGGAGTAATTGGTATACCTGATAAAACATTTCCTTTAAAATCTTACTGATGGTTTGGCAATGAATCAAAATGTGTTCAACCTCATTTCATATAAAAACAAAACTTTTTCTATAGTGCCTTCCACACTTGCATTTTGCAATCAATAAGGCAGCACAATTTCTATAAATTTGCCTTTTGTTCAGATATTCTCCTATTCTCCCAGAAATAGTATTATGAAGTTAAAGGTTTTTAGTGGGGAAAATTATATAATCGGTTGTTTCGCTTTAAAAAAAAATTTGTGGGAGGATGAATATGAAATGAATAGCAAAAATGTAAATAATATTCTAAAAGTAATAACAAAAGTTTATTCAAGCAGAGAAAATGACATTGTAGTGTTTGAGCTGTATAAAAGCAAACATGTAAACATATATCCAGCTGAATTCTCATAGAACAGGTAACTTTCTTATCTGATACGAATCTTGAATTTTTCAGTTCCCAAGGGGAAGCTATATACCTCAGTAGTACATTTGAAAAAAAAAAGACAGAAATACACATAGTAGCACTGATAACAAGCATTCATAGAGACCCACTATGTGCAAAGCACTGAAGCTGTATATGTACATCCAGTTAAAAGTGGAGCTCAAAGTCTCCTGATTTAATTAGGTATAATTCCCAAATGCATAAACATATTTTCCCTGTGAGAATTATAATAGCATTTAGAAGTCCATATTAAAAAAAAGAAAGATGGTTTGTTTTTGCTTTAGCTTATTCTGTTGTGTTTTATTAATAGTTTTAGATCAATACCAAATATTCTACTCAGTTCCAGTGATTGAATATGAATACATTATGTGCATACAAAAATAGTGATAATCTAAGTTGATACAATAGTTCATTTTGCATTAGTGTCCTAGATGGGACAATGTTAAGAAGCAATTTAAATGAAATTCATTTAAATGTCAGCTCTCATGCTTGCGATTTTTCTATAATTGGTTATTTAATTAAAATAATTCTCATAGTCATTAATTTAGACTAAAACTTGCTGTGCACTGACATGTTTTAATTACATGGTATTAACAAAATTGATATGCTTTAAAAAAGCATGGTTAAATTTTAAACAAGAATAAATTAGAAATCTCATAGATCATCCCACTTAGTGTATTTATGAGAAAGTCGGTCATTTTAAATGTTTATTACAAACAAAGTCACACCATTATTGTGTACACATTGCAATTTACACCCCATATCTTTTCCAAAGATTTGATGTACCTACAGGGCTCTTATTCTTGAATATCTTTAGCAATATGTGAAGGAAACTAAATCTTAACAGAAAACCACAAAATGATCTATAGAATAAATGAAGACTTAATGCTTACGTGACATAGAAGCTCATGGAGACTTTAGATAAGTCATATAATTTTATACATAAGGAGATAACATCTAAATATATATTAAAAGATTAAAAAAGAAATGATTTTGTTATAATCATTTTGTGATCCTCCTAGCAGGGACAAAATATATAGGAGTTTTGGTTCAGCCTTTATAAAAACTAGTTTTCACGTTACATTTGTGAGGTTACATTTGTGCAGCCACATTCTCATTTCAATCTTTGTCAAAGGACTAGATAAATATTTTACCCTTTTCAAATCGCAATTACAATCTTTGTCAGGAGTATGAGAAATCAGAATTTTGGTGTTTTGTATGAATTAGAGGACTTCTATATTGCTTTGACCTTTTTAATATTCTGTAATTTAATTGGACGGACAGTCTACTTTTAACCAGGCTTGCCAGTCTTCCTATTTAATAAACTTACTGACACAAAGTACTGTTTTAAATGGCTGCTTCTACTTTGTTCCCTGAGTAGAAGCTTCTGGACTGGTTAAAACATCGCTTTTACCAACTAATATTTCTCCATTTTCTTTTAGTCAGTAAACATTTAACAATTCATATATGGCCAGCTGGGTTTTATTACTTCATTTCTTTTCTGGATGTATGATAGTTTCAGAATTAGGTTTCTAGTCCAATTTCTTCACGCTTACTGAGCTTTAAATTAGTCTAGGACTACGAATAGAGAAGTCCACTGGAAAACTCTGAGATGCCTCTTTCCGACCTTGTTCTGAGGATTGTTTAAAATGCGAAATACAAAAGGAGACACAGTTGCTTATTCCTTGTTTCAGCCTATGTCTATGTGTTTTTTAAATGAATGAAATTATGCATAACTAACATTGGAATTAACTTTTTTTTTTATTATACTCTAAATTCTGGGGTACATGTGCAGAATGTCCAGGTTTGTTACATAGGTCTACATGTGCCATGGTGGTTTGCTGCACCCATCAACCTGTCATCTACATTAGGTATTTCTCCTAATGCTATCCCTCCCCTAGCCCCCCATCCCCTGACAGGCCCTGGTGTGTGATGTTTCCCTTCCTGTGTTCATGTGTTCTCATTGTTCTACTCCCACTTATGAGTGAGAACATGTGGTGTTTGGTTTTCTGTTCTTGTGTTAGTTTGCTGACAATGATGGTTTCTAGCTTCATCCTGGATAAAGAAAATGTGGCACATATACACTATGGAGTCTATATGTTCTTAGACACTGGCCTCAACAGGGTACATCTGTTATTTGGGATCACATTCTCTGTCAGGCTGGACAAGACATTGGTGGTCTTGAAGACAGAGGAAGAAAAGAAAATAGTGATCACTCACTATTTTGGGTTTTCATAACAAGATCTCTTTTGAATCACCTAAATAGGTGAAAACTAGTTACAGACTCATTTGGATTCCCCCCTCGTTTTCACTTTCTCATTTTCTATCT
Source organism: Homo sapiens (assembly GCF_000001405.40). NCBI lineage: Eukaryota > Metazoa > Chordata > Mammalia > Primates > Hominidae > Homo > Homo sapiens. The sequence goes on from NC_000013.11 coordinate 72,096,735, forward strand.
GTTTCTTTCTCATTCTAAAAGTCATAAAACTCCATATTAAAAGTGGGTTGGTAAGAATGGAAGAAAAAAGGATCATCTTGGTTTTTATTACATTTTCAAAATTAGAAAGATGGGAGTAGGTATATTTTTTCTTCCCCATATTTTCCTACATTAATTGTGAAGTGAATTGATTCAGTCTTCAGTATGATAGGGGAAAAAATAAATAAACATCCTGAGAAGAAGCTGTTAATTCTTTGATGTATATTTGAATAGTGTCTCACATACAGTAGTTGCTCAATAAATATCCATTGAAAGAGTAAATGACTGGATGATAGTAAGTACACCATCTCAATTAGGTCTTTTTACATAGATGGGAGAATATAATTATTTCTGAAAGACAGAAATTAGCAGATGTAGAGAGGAGCTTACAAGAACTTCATCTCCGTAAATCTATTTTCCCAAGAAAGCCTGATTCACAGAGGAGACACTGATCCAGGTGTGCCGACTGACTGCTCAAACCTTTTATGCCCAGGTTTTTTCTGGTTCCCTGGCACTGCTATTAACATGTAAAATGTATCCCTAATTAATCTGTTTTGTAATTTGAGATTTTTAGCACATCTGGATCTCTTAGAACTTGGCATACAGATTATTTTAGTGGTTCCTTCCCCTAAAATTTGCAATATGTTCATTTCAAGTGAGGATCAGGAATGAGATGAATTTTTATCTTCCCAAACTCTCTTGAAGGCCAGAATTCATGAGAGGCAGTGATTTGAATCCTGGCTCTGAAACCTCTGAATTCTAAGGCTTTTAGCAAATTATTCTTGGAAGCATCTTCATCTTAAAAATTGTTATCTCTGTAATAATACCTACCCTGTAGGGTCAATCATTGCTTACTATTATTATCCTGATATTTTCCATTTCTTTATTAAAATTCATTTTGCAATCACAATCCTAATGTCTTCTCTTTGACTCCCTGTGAAAGCAAAGAAACCTAGTGGACCTGGCTACCTAATTGACACACAGAGTGTTCCAGGACAAGTCCATACATGCCTGATGGTACAGTCATGGCTGGTGGGAGACTGACCCATGTGAGCCATATTTAAACACATTATCTGGAAATCTCCCCATGCATAGGAGACAATATATATATTTTCAAACTGAAACATTTCCTTTAAATTGTGTGAGTCCATGCTTTTGACTGGGTAGTGGTGGTGAGCAAGTCTGGTGATATTGGTACACTACTGAGAATCATTCAGAAGATCATGACATCATTATAGAATCTGAATATCAGGGTCAGGCTATATGGCATTAAAAATATAAATGGTAAACTTTAGAGCACACCAAAACTCAACAGTATCTGCATGAGTATTTTAGGGAAACCAATGAAACAAGTTTTTTCTCTCGAGTCTAGGAATTTACACATAACAGGCACACAGGATTTAGCCAGATGTTTAGAAGTATTGTTGAAAGGATAACAAAAAACATGTATCCATTCTTATTCAACTTTTTGGTGGTAAAAATATACCCTAGTTTTTTTTTTTTTAAAAAGTTGATGTTTTATTTCCATATTTCCTTATACAATAGGTGTACACTTAATGATAAAGTGTTTAGTACATTCAATCAGTGTAACTTGATGTGCATAAACTTTGTACACTTGGTACAATATAAATAATTTCTCCCAATTTATCTTTCTAATAAAATATTTTAATATGTTTACTTTTCATAAAGTGCATGAGATGATTAAATTTAGTGGTGGGTTCATATGAAATAGGGCTGAGCCGTGCTATGGATCAGCAATGGACTGCCATCTTACCCATGTATCCAAGGGCCGACCATTTTTATCTTCTCATTCAGTGTTCTTTTACCTACATTTCTTCTTCGCTTTTATGAATGTGGGCAGCAGAGGAGAGGGGCAATTATAGTGACCAGGATGAGAGAGTGCTCATCCTGAGCAACAGCGTTCCCAACTACTAGAGCATTCTCTCATTCTGATCACCATCACCATCTCACGTCCTAATCACTATTGAGGGGGTGCCACAGTCAGCATCGTTACATCTATAAAATTCATGGATGCATGTTAAATAGCTTAAATGCAACGTCTCCCATAACTAATTTTTAAAAAAATAACAGTGGATAACCATAAAACAGATGGCTTCCAGAGGTGGACCCAAATGACAAACACTTTAATGAAAAAATGGGCAAAGGATGAAAACAGATGATTCACAGGAAATATTTCAATTCATAATAAACACAGAAAAGATGCTCAATGTCACTAGTGGTCTAAAAAATCAAAAGTAAAATATTAAAACAACAGTTTTTGATTCATCAGACTAGCAATTTTTTTTTTTTTTTTTCGAGACAGAGTCTTGCTCTGGAGTACAATGGCGTGATCTTGGCTCACTACAATCTCCACCTCCCCGGTTCAAGCGATTCTCTTGCCTCAGCCTCCCCAGTAGCTGGGACTACAGGCATGCACCACCATGCCCGGCTAATCTTCCTATTTTTAGTAGAGATGAGGTTTCTCCATGTTGGCCAGGCTGGTCTTAAACTCCTGACCTCAAGTGATCCACCCACCTTGGCCTCCCAGACTGCTGGGATTACTGGCATAAGCCATCGTGCCCAGCCCCAGACTAGCAAAAATTCAAAAATATAAATGATACTCAGTTTGGGTGAGGACATGGGAAAATAGGCCCTCTCATACATTATTGGCACAACAGATAGAAATTTTAAAATGTTTATAGATTTTGATCTAACAATGTAAACTTTAGAGATCTACGCAACAGAAAAATATTGACTTATATGCATAAACTGCATGTACAAGCTGTCCATTGAAACACTTTTAGCAATTTTATAGCCTCACAAATATTGAGAGGACCTCATTTTTGGAAGCCTATTATGTTTCTACAACATTGTGAGAAAAACAGCACATTGAACAGATTAAATAATTAAATTTAGGTTCCTAATTAAATTAAATTAATTAATTTATTTATTTTTGAGACAGAATCTTGTTCTTGTCACCCAGGTTGGAGTGTAATGGTGCAAACTCGGCTCACTGCAACCTCTGCCTCCTGGGTTCAAGCAATTCTCCTACCTCAGCCTCCCAGGTAGCTGGGATTACAGGCACCCACCACCACACCCAGCTAATTTTTGTATTTTTAGTAGAGACAGGGTTTCACCATGTTGGCCAGGCTAGTCTTGAACTCCTGACCTCAGGTGATCCACCTGCTTTGGCCTCCCAAAGTGCTAGGATTAGAGGTATGAGCCACTGCATCCTACCAGTTCCTACTTTTAAAATTGAAATATATAAAGACCACAAATTGGATGCAGTGTACACTGCTCGGGTGATGGGTGCACCAAAATCTCACAAATCACCACCGAAGAACTTAGTCATGTAATCAAACACTACCTGTTCCCCAATAACTTATGGAAATACAAAAATTTAATTAATTAAATAAATAAATAGAGTGACTTGGGGAAAATATCATTGAGATATATAGGGAGTGTCATATACACGAATTTTGTTAAAAAATTTTATTCTAATTTTTATTTACTTTTTGAGACAGTCTCACTCTGTCACCCAGGCCGGAGTGCAGTAGCCTCATCACAGCTCACTGCAGCCTTGACCTCCTGGGTTCAAGTGATCCTCCCACCTCAGTCTCCTGAGTAGCTGGTGCATGTGCCACCACACTTGGCTAATTAAAAAACTTTTTATTTTTATTTTATTTTATTTTGTTTTTGTAGAAACAAAGTCCCACTATATTGCCCAGGCTGGATTTTTTTTTTTTAAAGACTTTTATCGTAAAAATTATTTGCTCATTAAGCATTTATTTGCTAACTTCCAGGTGGCAAAAATTATGGTGTTTAAAATTATTTCTGAGACATCTGGAAATTTTCATGTAAGTTCTATAAATGTAGTTTTACTCCTTCATTCCTCAGTTGTAACTAGAAAAATATTTGCCAATGTCGTCAATCAAACTTCCACACCAGTGAGAAGATGACATTTCCTCCTCTTTCCAGGAAGGATAGGAAGGAATTAGTCAGAAACTAAGCTATTTATTTAAAAAAGATATATTATATACCTATAGAGTGTCTGGATGCTCATTTATATCCCAGAGATATTCGGATGAAAACATAGTCCCTGTCTTCACAGTATAGGCACACAAATAATTGCATACCTAAATAGTACGAACAGCATCACTCCTTAGGTATAAAAAGAATCTCACTTCATCTTTTCTCTTTTCATGTTAAAACTTCCTGGTTCCCTATTTGCACAAAATATTCGCAATGCTTAGTCTCTCTCCTGGGGCCTCCAATCCCAACCATCTGTAAACAGGCCAAGGACACGAAAGAGTTCCTTCAGCCCTAAAGTGCCAGTCCTGTTTCTATATAATTGCCTCTTGGAGAGAGAATTGGAGGACCTGCTCAGTTCCCAGGCGAATCCCCTATTGTTGGCTGTCATCAATTCTTTCTCCACCCCATGTGTATCATTGTTGAACACTGGACACTCAGCCTGGCTTGGAGTCATACTCATCAACTGTAATTAAGATCCAACTGTGGCAATGCCAGCTCTTCTAGCAAGGCAGAGTTTTTCAGGGTAAAGGAAATTAGGGGACGTCTCTGCAGTGTGGCTCCTAGGTTGTAACTGCACTTGGCCCTGTGGTAAACGATTTAATACCTGCTGCTAGGCTGCACATAGATGGTTCATTGAGGGAACCTGCTACTACCCACTAATGTTAAGGAGAGCAGTGGTTGTTTCTTATCGTAACGCCTAAGAACTGCGTGGCTCCTCATACTCCTTTTTTAGATTCTTTCAGTGGGCCACCTCCAGCAGACACCAGTCCGTCCTCTTTCTCTTTGACTCAGATCCTCACTAATTTCCTGTTATACAATGATTGGCACTTTCTCCCCCTAGGGAACTACATGAGCAGGTTACATATGTAACAGGGAAAAGGAATAGGAAGTAGAGATCTGCAGCGCAGCCATCATTTCCGGGCTGACCAACCCATTCCCAACCCACATGGGAGGAACTGCCTCTGGGTAGAGGCTGCTGCTGAGGGTGTCCCACACCCTGTACAGGAGTGTAGGAGTCTGAAGAATTGTGGTCTCAAAGTTTTGAGAAGTGTTTTATTGTTCTAATAGTCAGAGACTTGAATTCACATTTGGTGTGTATTTTTCCTTTGTTGAGGGGAACCACTTGGGGGAATTTTTCAGTTACTCAAAATAAAAAGGGTTTGAAGAAATGATGACTGTGGATTTTCTTAGTTCAGTTAAAGACTGATTTTCTAGTTCAAGGATGCTCTTAAACTGAGACCACAGACATACTTAATTTCTACCCATTAAGTGAATTCAAGTTTTATTGCTATCTCCTGCCACCCTTAGGCCTAGGGGGAGGACTGAGAAGGATACATGTGCTTGTGTGTATGTGTGTGTTTGCTGTGAGGCTACAATTAGGCACTGGATCTGGTTATCCGGACTAGGAAGTGACGAAAGAACCTTCAGGCATATCAGTAAAGATAAAGATCAGAGTGTATCTTCTAATATGTCAGGCTGTCTCAGGGAGAGGTCCAGAAGGGATTTTAGATGGTTACCTGCGTGTCACTGAAACAAAATTGAAACTAGTGCACTGTAACTAAATTGCAGTATTCCTTTGATAACCTAGGGCTTATACATTTTAGCTAGTTTGTCAGACAATTTGATAACCAAAGGGAGAAGACTTCACTTAGGGTTGCCAGATTTAGCAGAGAAAATATAGAATACCCAGGCATATTTGAATTGCAGATAAACAAAAAATGATTTTAGTATAATTATGTCTAAAATATCACATGGGTTATACGTATAGCCTAAAAGACTACTCATTGGTTATCTGAAATTTAAATTTAACTGGGTGTTCTGTATGTCTATCTAGCAAACCCAGTCTCATTAGATAGTAATATTTTCTTTAAATTCAAGTCCCTCCACAGAGGAATTTTCATAGTATTGGAAACGCAGTATTTGGGCTCACTCAGCACTCACTTCCAACCATTTTTTTCTCCTGACTCTCTTACTTTTAGAGTCTGGAAAGGTAAGCACTCAGTTTTCTTAGACACCTTTTTGCAGGAGTAGGCAAAGAACTCAAAGACTGACAATGAGTCTTTATCAGAAGTCTTCTAGGCAGACCCCCCTCTGAAATAAAAAGGTAGCCCTTCTCAGGAAAAAGCATTTTTGTCCTTTCTACCCTTTTCTTGCCTGTTATCCAAAAGCCAAGATTGTGCCACTGCACTCCAGCTGGGTGACAGAGTTAGACTCTGTTTCAAAAATAAATAAATAAACAAATAAATAATTTTAAAAAAACAAAAGCAATGACAGTAAATGCAGCATTCCTCATGCAATCACCAGGTGACAAGCATAAGGACAAAGGTCTACACAGTGATGGAGAGATCTTGAGTTCCAGATGATCAGTAAGTCACTCTACCTTCACTAAACTACCAATCTCCAGACTTCTTGTTATTGGACAGAAAATAACTCTTATCATTTACAGCTATTATATTTGAGTTTTTCGTTAATTGTAGGTGACTTATCCCTACTGATACTTCTCAAAACTCCCACCAATATAGAGCTATTTAGTTTTACATAACTAAAAAAAAATCAAATTTTAGAAAGACAGAGTGGTATCATAGGTAAAGTAATTTACTCTTATAAAGATGCTTTGGGAATGAGGAGAAAAAACAATAAAAGAAATGTGATGTCCTGATCACATTTTTTTAGAAGACTCCGTTTGTGCTTCTATGGGTAGAGGGATAAAAACAGAAGTTTTTATGAGAAACTTGGTAAGATCATAAGAAAAGACCATCGGAAACAGTAACATTGCGTGAGAAACTTTGTCAAATTGTGGACATCATCAGAGCTACTTCTGGGTCAAGTGTTGATGGATTGTGGACAGAGTTAGAGAAGAGGTTATTCTTGGCACCTTTGCAAAATCATACACTTCTTTTTGGCACTCAAAGTCAGTAGCTTGGGGAATGTCTAGAGGCAGCCTGTCTGGCATAAGCATTGACCTGCTCACAATTGGCACCACCAGTGGGGGCAGAAGGAGGAGCTTGCTTCAAGCAACTAAAAACATACAAGAACCAGAATAAAAGAACAGATGAATATTAGTGAGGCTGACAGACTGGCTTGTTAGCGTGTAGGAAATGTACCTTTGGAGGCTTCCAGTAATAACTGGGGGACATTTTGAAGTGGTCTGAAGTTCAGTTATTTCACAGGTGAAGGAACTTGATCCATCATGTTTGGTATTATAAATTCATGTGTATTTTGGCATAGCCTTTTGGTGAGGCAATATTCCTGTTAACCTAGGATTTTCAGAATTTAGCTATGCTCCTCAAAGGCTGAGATGTATGTGTGCTGTGTGTCTACATTCTTTGAATAATTTTCCAAGTTGTATCACAATCATTAGCTGGAATGTCTCCTTTTCCTATTGCTTTGCTTCAGGTGCTGGTTGTTACGCATCTGAGTTTTTAGAAAAGTTTCCTAATTGATCTTTATGCTTCTCTTCTTAACTTTCTCAAACTCAAATTGCCCTCTGCTACCAGAACATGTCAGTTCCATATGTAAAAATTTTCAGTTATTTCTTTTTTGTGTATAAGGTTCAAGTCAAATAATTTTCATAACATGTTGGCTGCTTTTACAAGCAGATCTTCCAACATTCCCTAATGTGTACTTTTGTACTCCATTCATGTAAACAACTCCCTGAACACTCTATGTCCTTTCTTCCATGGGCATATTCTCTACTTATTGAAGGGGATACCATTTTTCTCTTCACCTGTTTCACTTACTCCTACCAAATCTTCAAGTAAATTCCCAAAATGACTTTCTTTATTAAGCTTCCTCTGGGACCCATGAGGGAGAATTAGTTATTACTCACTGCTGTGCTCCCATAATAATATGTGTGCATCCCCATACTGAGCTCCTCACTTAGTATTGTAATTATTTGATTCCATGTCTCTTCCATTATAGCTTCAGTTTCTTGAAGGCAGCTAATCTGATGACCTGTCTTTAAGACCAAATTATAAATAGTAGGTGTTTAATAACTTTAATTATGTAATCAATGACTCATACTTTTAAAAATGAACTCCTCACCAAGTTCTGTTGTTTCTACAGGCCAAGTATTTCTCAACATGCTTGGTTTCTCACCATGCCAACCACCACTACTATAGATTAGAACATCACCAGCTAGCTTCAGGATTATTTCCTTGGTCAGTATTTTTATTTTTCTTCCATCAGAAGTATTTTAAAAAGGGAAATTATATGAACAGATTTGTGGTTTCAGAAAAATAATCCTGGAAGCTATGTAGAAATTGGATGGTGGCTGGTGAAGAATGGAGAAAGCAAACCAGTCCAATTTCCACAAAGCTGCCAGAGTCATTTTTCTAAAACCCACAGTTCTGCTCACGTAACTTTCCTTATTAAAACATTTCCTATGGAAAGTAATAAGCTAAGCATGTGCTTCAACATATTTTTTCTGTCCCAGTTGTCTGCTAAGGTTACTAAGTTCACACAGAAAGGGAAAAGTTAGTTTTACAACTGGAACCCAGTGTGGGGTTTTAGCTAATTGCCTTAAGTTTGACATTTCCATTGAGTCAGTGGAGGTGATCCAGGTAGACCACAACGGTCCCTTGCCTGCTGCCCCATCCCTTCTCAGGACATCAGAGGAGGAAAACAGACTCCTTCATCATCAGGTACACTGAGTAAGATACCTATATACAAGTTATTATTTTTTGAGCCAATGGCTAGGACCAGTAACCATTTAGCAGTCAGTCTTGCTCAAGGAGAGGCAGCTTACTGAGCTGAACTGATACAAATCAGGGCAGTTGGTAGAATCCCTAGCCCCCACATCCTGCATGCCCTGGGAACAGCCTGCAAATCACTAGACTTTCCTCAGTTGAGGGACTCAAACTGCTGAGCTGATTTCATCTCCCATATTGGAACTGGAAGCTCCCCCAGGCCACTTCCCTCGGCAACCATCTACTTCAATGTAGGGAATCCAGCCTTCCAATTTATTCATCTCCAATATCCTTGGAGAGAAAACTTTCCTTTTTTTGTGAGGTGTCTGATAGTGACCAATGGTCAGAAAACCCTACAGCAGATCTATACTACACAAGGAATTAAAGATGCTCTACTGCTAACAGCACTGTGAGCCATTATTACAGTTATCACTATTTCGGCACTGACTATGTATCAAGCATTGGCTAAGTGTTCCATATAGTTAATTATCACAATGATTCCATGACTTTACTGTTATTATTATCTTGATTTTATGGCTGAGGAAACAGAAGTACACTATCCAGGTAGGGAGTAAAGAGCTGGAATTTAAACCCAGGCAGACTTACCAAATGGGCTATACAATCTTCTATTTTTTTCTTTTTTTTTTTTTTGAACCTGCCTCTGAGATTCAAGTGATTCTCTTGCCTCAGCCTCCCAAGTAGCTGTGATTACAGGTGCCCTCCACCATGCCGAGCTAATTTTTGTATTTTTAGTAGAGATGAGGTTTTGCCATGTTGGCCAGGCTGGTCTCAAACTCCTGACCTCAGGTGATCTGCCCACCTCAGCCTCCCAAAGTGCTGGGATTACAGGCTGTATAATCTTTCTGCTGGCAATTGCTTGCCTATATTTATTACTATGATCATACAATGAAGACTCACTTGATATGTAACAGAAGTCAGAAAGTGCAAGAGGGGATTGATTGGCACAGATAGATCAAGTGTCTCCCACTGACATTGTAATGGAGGAGGTAGAAGAGAACTTGAAATGTCTATTGTTCAATCTCAGTGGTAATTGAAAGATAATGGCATTAAAAATTTTGTTGATTGGATCCAGGCTGACTCACAAAAGAAAACCAAGAAATAGAAATAAAGGACTTTGCAGAATCGAAAACACAAAGATAAATCCCTGAGAAAAATGAGGAAATAATGGAATGGGTATGGCTTCAGTCAGAATTACTGATCTTAAATCCAACTTCAGAAATTATACTTGAGTGTGGAGTAAAAGAGTATTGAATTACAAATTATGAGATGAAAGATAAGACATAGACAATAGACACATGAGACTATTGAAACCTTTCTAAGAAAGAAAGGTTTGAGCAGAAAATTATTTTCTGCACTGAAAGACCATGTGATACTTTTGCAATAAAAGGTTCAATAACAGTAGGCAATATTTTTAAAAATCATATTTTTAAAAATCTTTAAGGAAGTATTCCAGCCAAATGAAAACTGTATTGTGATAAAAATTGTAAGACAGAAGAAAATAAATTAATTAGGAAGCCTATGGATTAACGAAATATTTATTTTATTTAATGTTTAATTTCTATAGGTTTTGGGGGAACAAGCGGTGTTTAGTTATATGAGTAATTTCTTTAGTGATGATTTTTGAGAATTTGGTGCATCCATCACCCGAGCAATATGCACTGAACCCAATTTGTATGTAGTCTTTTATCACTCACCCACCTCCCATCCTTTCCCCAGAGTCCCCAAAGTCCATTGTATGCCATTCTTATGCCTTTGCATCCTCATAGCTTAGTTCCTACTTGTGAGTGAGAACAAAGATGTTTGGTTTTCCATTCCTGACTTAATTCACTTAGAATAGTCTCCGGTCCCATCCAGGTTGCTGCAAATGCCATTAGTTCATTCCTTTTCATGGCTGAGTAGTATTCCATCATATATGTATACCACAATTTCTTTAAACTCTGAAAAAAATAATTGCTACTTTGTAGAAGGTATAATGTATAGTTATGAAAAGAATCTTGAAGTAGAAATACATAATGGAAGCAGAATTAGCAAACATCTGCTTCCAAAGTTTTTAACATAGGTCAACGTAATGCAAGAGGAATATAAGTGTGCAAAGTTCTTCTCCTAAGGGAAGTGAAGACATGATTATTTAATTTATAATACTAATAAGTAAATATAAGTTCAAATAAATTACTAAGCCACTCTTCTGCATGTACTGTTTCCTCTGCTTGGAATACTCCTGCTAAGTGTATCTACATGGTCCATCCTCTTATGTCTCAGTCTGCTCAGATTTCTTTTCATCAGAAGGATCTTTCCTGCTCCCCCATTTAAAATAGCATTTCTCATCACCCTTAGTGATTTCTTTACTGTCCTCCAACGATGCACATAATAGAATGTAAGTTCCCTGAAGGCAAGACTATTGGTTTTCTACACTGTCCTATCCCCAATGCTTAGAAGAGTACCTTACACATATTAGACTCTTTATAAACATGAATGAACAATATATAAAGTGCTCCTATAAATCAATAAGAACAATCTCCCCAGTCCCACAAAGTGAACAACACCATGAAAAGGCCACTCAATAAATGCGTGAAAATATGGTTATCTTAACTAATTATTCAAAAATGTAAGCTAAGCCGATGAAAGATGTTTTTATAGAACTGTGGCAAAGATTTTAAAGATAGGTAATATTCTGTGTTAACAAGATGTGGAGGATGTAAAATTTAAATTTGTAAGGTCAGTTTTTTATGGGCTACCAATGTTCTTTTGATCTAGAAAATCTACTCGTAGGAATTCTTCCTATTAAAATTATTGTACAATTCTGTAAATATATAGTTTTTTAAAAGCTTGCCACATTTTTATTAAGGTAAAAAATAAACTATGCTTATCTTATTTTGTATATGGGGATAAAATACAGGCAATAATACATAGCTCAAGATAGGGCTTTTTTTGTGGTACATAGGAAGAAAAACCTTGCCTCTGGTTATCTCTGGAAGGTGAAGTTGCACGATAATTTGTTTCCTATTTTTTAGGTAATTTTGTTATGTTTGAAATCTGACAATAATATCTAACATTCAATAATCAGTAGGAAAATATAAAAGGTATAATTATACTATTTAAAAGAATTTGTGAACCAGTATTCTCAGCTCTAAAGTCTTCTCCACAGAGGGTCTATTAGTCTTTTTGTAATTTTTAAAATCCTCCTGAGTTCGATGTGTTGGTATTTCTTTCAGGTTGTTTTATTTTATGTTCATAAGTAGCATTACTCTGCAGATTTTCTTTTTTCTTGTGCTAGTTTGAGTTAATACAGCTATATTGGTCTCATAAAATCAGCTCCTATCCAATCATGCCCCGTGCTGTGCTTGACGTATAATCCGATGGCTTGAAATCCTTTTGTGAAAAGCGTCATCTTTTTTCATGCCTCTGTGACTTTGTTCATGATCTTCTCTCTGCCAGGCAGGCCCTTTGCTGTCTTCTTTCCTTTTTAAGTTTCAAATTATCTTGTGAGACACAGGTTAAATGTGTTCTCTTGTATGAAGTCTTCTCTACCTTCCCCCAGGAGATTTCTTTTTCCTCTGATCCTCATTATATAAATAATGTTATCACCAATAGCATTCATCACATTGTAGTGTAATTATTTTCCTGCATGTTTGTCTCCCTGGTCTAAAGAGAGACGCTCTCTTTCATATTTGTGTGTCTAGCCCCTGGGTGCAATGTCTGGTTCATCACAGCTTCTCGATCTCAACAGATATCATTTGAATAATACAAAGATACCCAGGATCACCTGAGAGTTTATGAGTTAAAAGTAAAAGTTCACTATTTCCTTGCTCAGCCCTTGAATGATTATTTAATTTTCCAGACTGATAAGGTCAGCAGTTACTGTATTATAACGAAGAGTGTCATCTCTCTTCAGCCCTCCTGTGCCAAGAGACCCAAAGAGGTTTTACTGTTCCTGATGGGACATGTTAAAATGTCCTTCACCTTTCACTTCTTCCTTGCTACGTTCACTCTTGCTGTTCCTGGCTATTTATTCCTCTAGTTGCCCTTTTCTGTAGGCGAAACAGTTCATTATTCTAGGTTTCCAAACTCAATCTCACTGTGCACGTCTCCACTCGTTCCTCAGAAGCAAACCCTACTCATATTTAATCAAGAAGCAATAAATATATAAGGCACAATGTGTATTATGAAAATTGTCATAATTAATATGGGATCTGAGAAAGATCCTAGTTTTTCCTATTGAATGTTTTTGTTTCTTAACACCTTCATGGATTTTTATTGGTTGTCTTTTTTTTTTTTTTTTTTTTTTTTGCATTTCTGTATCATTTGTCTCATTCTTGACTTCATCCTTCCACATTTCAACCTGAAAATTAGGATTCCTAGCCTGAACCTGAACTGAAATGTAAATATATCTGGGCTCTTCAGAGGTACCTCTGTTGCTTATGTGTCTACTAAATAAGAATAAAGAGTGGTTTTGTTACTCATCTAAGGAAAATTACTCATCTAAAGAAAATTTCCTGTAGAGAGAATCATAATATGGGATTGAATATTTTTGTACGGACAAACCTAGGGATTAACCTGTCATCTTCTGGAGAGAAAAATCTTTGGCAGAAGAAAATGTTTTTATATGGATCTATGTGAGACACAAGGGCTACATAAAAGCTGCTTTGCACCTGGGACACCACACAGCGTGGCGTGGGCAGCAGCGGCCTCTGGAAGTGAAGCACCTCTTTGGCACCTCCTGTGTTTGCTGCATTGAGAGTGCCAGGAGCCAGCAGCCTTGGCATAAACATTACCTCCAAACATCTTTATATTTATTCGTTAAAAGATGATGCTTAGGACAGCCATAAGAAGTACTATATGATCCAGCAATACCAGTTCTGGGTTTATATCCAAGGGAAATAAAATCACTGTTTGAAGAGATATCCATACTCTCATGTTCATTGCAACATTAGTCACAATAGCCAAGATATGGAAACAAACTATCCTTTTTATATACATATATGTACACACATATATATTATATATATATCCTATTTTATATATATACAAACCACATTTTCTTTATCCATTCAAATGCCAGTGGAAACAGATTTAAAATATGATTTGTGTGCCTATATAAATATTCTTTTGTGTATACATATATACATACACACACACGTGTGTGTGTGTGTGTGTGTGTGTGTATATGTATATACACAAAATAATATTATTTACCCTTACAAAAGAAGGAAATTCTGCCATTTGCAACAACATAGATGAACATGGAGGACGTTATGCCAAGAGAAATAAGCCAGAAAACATGAATGTCATATCTAATGCAGAAAGACAAATACCGCATGATCTCACTTATACAGGAAATCTGAAAAACAAGTTGAACTCAATACAAAGAGGAGTATGGTGGTTACCAGATGCTGGGTGTTGTAGGAAAAGGGAAGATATTGGTCAAAGGATGTAAACCCTCAGTTATAAGATGAATAAGTACTAGAGCCCTAATGTACAGCAGGATGATTGCAGTTAATAATCATGTCCTTATTTGAAATTTGAAAATTCACTTGAAATTTGCTGAAAGAGTAAATCTCAAATGTTCTCACCACACATACACAAAAATGTTAATGATGTAAGGTGGTAGATACATTAATCAGCTTGGTTGTAGTAATTATTTCACAATGTATACATATATCACAACATCATATTGTGCACCCTAAATATACGCAGTTTTCGTTTGTCAATCTTACCTCAATGAAGCTGGAAAAAATAATGCCTATTCATTGTGAAAATAATACAAAATACAAAAAAGCATAAGAAAATAGCAGTCTCTCACAATTCCATGACACAGATATAGCTAAATACTGATGTCATTATTTTAATTTTATATATAGATTTTGCTTACCTTTCCATTGAATATTACAGAACCACTTTTTCGAGATTTACTCCAAGCCTTACCCTCTTTATAAAGTTTTTCCTTAGTGTCTCCCCACCTCCACCCCAGGTAGCATGACTATAACTATCTTGTCCTTCAATTGCTCTCAGTACATTCTTCTATCAAAAACTACATAATAATTTAGTTAACCTACTGGTATATGTGTATGTCTTCCTTTTATATATTCGAAGCACTTTCAATACAAATACATAGACCAGTGTCTGGTTCATATTAAAATTTTATTAAGTTAGTTGAATACGTGAATAAATAATCTTAATTATTTTAATCACAGGATAAATATCTCTTTTAAATACTATATTAATAGCTTGATGATATTCTATCATATGGGTGCAACATAAGTAAATTATTGTTCTCTATTGTTGGAATACTGGTATTATATAAAATTATTATTATAAATAACATTGGCAGGATACATTTCTGTGTGAAAGTTTACATTTTACTACCAGTACATGAGGAATTACTGGATTAAAAGGCATAAATATTATCCATGACAGAATTGTTATTCAAAAAGTCTGTATAAATTTATATGTCCAGCAATGCAAGAGCTTCAATTTTGCCTCATCCTGGCCAACACTGAGTTTTATATATTTAAATGGATATGCAAGATGTTTTTCTTTACACATATGCATGTTAATTTAATTAAAATGTAATATATATAACATATTCATATATTATTTAATCACATACACATATGTAGTAAGAAAAACCAATGTGTCACTTAAAATTTCATTTTAGACTGCATTTTTGAGCCACCAAATCTTACAAACTAATTTTCTTTTACAAATCATATGAAGTTTGAAGGTGGCATCATTAAGCACAATCAAATCATAGATGTGCAGTGTATTAGTCTGTTCTCAGGCTGCTAATAAAGGCATACCTGAGACTAAATAATTTATAAAGGAAAGAGGTTTAATTGACTCACAGTTTCACATGGCTGGGAGGCCTCACAGTCACGGCAGAAGGCAAAGGATGAGCAAAGTCACATCTTGCATAATGTTAGGCAAAAGAGCTTGTGCAGGGGAATTACCATGTATGAAACCATCAGATCTCGTGGGACTTATTCACTGCCTGGAGAACATTATGGGGGAAACTACTCCCATGATTCAATTATGCCCACCTGGCCCCACCCTTGACACAAGGGGATTATACAATTTAAGGTGAGATTTGGGTGGGGACACAGCCAAACCACAACAGTATGTGTGTTTGTGTGTTAGTATAAATCATACTATAAAGAATATTGTTGAATTCCTGATATGTACAAATACGAACATTATGACTAAGAAACTAGATAGAGCCAAAATACAATTGCGTTGTATATTGCAATCCAATGAACATGACACCTGTTTCTTTCTTGCTTCTCTCTAGGCCGTGTAGTGAACTACGAAGTACAACTTCCCTTACTTCTACTTCTATAATATATTTACCTGTGTTTGGTCATTTTGTTTTTCTCAAGTCTGCTTTGGTAAGTTATTACAATTTGATGGCTCTTTAGAGTTTCTAAAGCATATTTTCTCCCTGCTGTTTAGAGAATATTCATTTTTTTCTTCCTGTTTGATTACTGTGGTGGAACTGTTGTATTTGGAAAAGCAATGGTTTAAATTTAATTTTGTTTTATTTTAGTTAGCAAAAATGAAACAATTTCAACATAACATTGGGCCTTAGTCTTTTTATTAAAAGTTGTGGATTGTCATTAACTGACAAATATTCTGCTGCCAAGATCTTGCAAGTATTATATTTGTTGTCTGATGCCAAACATCCTCTTTAAATGCTAATGAACAAAGTATGGCATGCATTCTGTTCTTGATAGATTATGCCTATACCTTCTGTGGTCAACAGAAGGGGAATTCCCGGCCCATATGATTTCCATTCTGGCACACTCATCTCCTTAGTACTTACAAGTCAGTTAGCATTTAGATGTACTACTCAATCTTATACTTAGATTGAACAAAACAGCCACAGCTTAGCTGCTTCCACTAAACTTGAAGAAGCAATTATGTGAGGCTATTTTTTCCTTACATTCTCCCACCCAACCCAAGTGAATATATGAAACATTCAATTTTACATCTAAACTTCTTTTTGCTAAACCTAAGTAATCGAACTACAGAAAGCCTTGAACACACTGACTAGTTTGGCCTTTCCTCCACAGGCATTTTGAAGCCATCAGAGAGTTTCTAGATAATGACGAAACCTGATTTGGTGAAAGATTTGGCAGAAAGGAGGATAGTGAAGGTCATGATGCAAAAGCAATGCTAGGCTTTTGCAATAGTCCTGGCCTGTACTAAAATAGTATGATATTGACACATTAACAATGAAAGGGTTTGGGGAAGGTGTAATGAGGCAACAGAGTGGCCCATGGGCTTCAAGGCCAGCCTATTTTGAGTTTGAGTCAAGGCTTCGCCCCATATAGCTGTGTTGATGTTATGATTAAACCTCTTGAATTCCCTGTTTTATCAAGTTTATCACCTGTCAAATGGTTGTAATGATAGGACTTAAGATTCAAAATTGTTATAAAGTTACATGAGATAATGAACTAAAACCTGGAACATAGTACCTGGCTAGCATGTGGTATATGTTGAAAATGTGTATTTGTTTCCTGTTGCTGGATAACAAATTACCACTAATTTAGCAGCTAACCAACAACACACTTAAAAAAAATCTTACTGTGTTTTTACATCAGAGGTACAGATTCAGCTGCACAAGACTTCTGTTCAAGCTGTCAGCCAGACTGCATTCCTTCCTGGAACTCAGGATCCTCCTCCAAGCTCACTCGGTTGTTGGCAGATTCAGTTCCTTGCATTTTAAAATTGAAGCCCCCACTTTTTCTTTTATGACTGTCAGTGGGGGCCACTCAGCCACTAGGAGCCATCCACAGTTCTTCAACAAGTGACCGTTTCACAGGTCCTCTCTCATCACAGCAGCTTACTTCCTCAAGGATGGCAGAGGGACAGAGTCATATATAATGTGAGGTAATGAAGGGAATGACTCTCTCATTGCCTTTGGCACATTCAGTGGATTGGAAGCAAGTTCTAGGGCTTGTAGTTCCACGTGCAAGAGGAGTGGATTATACAAGGGTGTAGGCCACTGGCATCATCTTAGAGTTCTCCGTATCTCAATATATGTGTTAGCTCTTGTGTTAGTCAAATATTCTTTTTGTTACAAGACAGAGAAACTCAACTGGAACTAGGTTAAGCAAAGTAACATTTCAAAAGGGAAGATTCAGTGGAAGTTTTCTGGGATTGCTCACAGAATCCAAGAATGGGCTGCAGGTATCAGGGTAGCATTAATGACTCTGGGAATCTGAACGAGGAGTCACTGTATCTCAGGAGACATGATGTCTTGATGCATCAGGAGATTCAGTTTCCTCATGTGCTGGCTTTGTCTGTTGGATTTACCCTCTTAAGCTTCTCCCTGAAACCTGGGAATATCCTGCTTAAAAGCTCATAACCTTGAACCTTCTCTGTGAGGTGACAGATATCCCCCCAGAACCTCCAGGAGAGACATGTTTCAAAAGGACTATCATTGGCTTGTGGTAGATCATGTAAATACTCAAAGACCAATAACTCTGGCCAGGTAGATGGGGTATCATGATTGACTTAGCCAAGGGAGCATATCCTCCCTTGTGTTTGGAGGGAAATACATCAATTCCCAGAAAGTGGTGAGGCTAGAAACAGAGCAAGACAGATAAAAGCTTCATAGAGTGATTTTCCCCCAATAAAATATCATAAGTATTTTAAAACAAAAGTCATATTAAGCACTCATATAACTACTTCCTAAATTCAATAAATATATATTATTTTGCCATGTTTGCTTTACCATATGTCTGTCAATCCATTTTGTTTTTTATCCATTTCAAATATGTTGCAGATGTAGGATATATCACCCTAAACTCTTCAGTATGGTTATCATTAATTAGAGTCCGGTAGATTGAATTTGAAGTTAAAGGTCAAAGCATAACTAGTCTATTGGATAAACCTAAAAGTATAAGCTTTACTAGATAGTTATTTCTAATTAACTTGGTTACCATTTTCCTAAATCTAGGTGACAAGAGATAATGGCTTTCTTTGACATTTTATGAAAATGGAGAATTTGGTGGTGCATGCTTGTAGTTCCAGCTACTCAGGAGGATGAGACAGGAGAATTCCTTGAGCCCAGGAGGCAGAGGTTGCAGCGAGCTGAGAGCACACCACTGTACTCCAGCCTAGGTGACAAAGCAAGACCCTGTCTCAAAAAACAAAACAAAACAAAAAAGGGAAATGGAGAATTTCTTTGAATACAGCTAATATGTTCAAATAATATTAGGAACAAAGGGATGAACAATATAGTAAATCCTCACTATTCACTGAAGTTATAGTACTATTCACTAATTTCTCCAAGTTAGAATGCTTAGAGTCATGTCTGTCTCCCTAACCCCTATTATCCAATTGGTTAATGGCCAGCCAGCTTCTTTCTATACACATCCGCCTACTTCCCCACTGTCTTCCTCTTTTCCAACTCTGTTGCTTTCCAATCCTCACCTTGCTCTGACAATAACTTCAAAAATTCTCTCCCTGATTTGGGTAACTCCTTTCAATAAACTAATCTTTACAATGCCACTGGAATTATCCCTCTAAATACAGATCTGATTTTGTGAATCCCTAAAACTTGATACTTCTCTTTTTCCTGTAGAAGAAAATCCAACATGTAGACATGGTGGACAAAGTTTACTAAAAACTGGGTATTTTGTAAGTGTTCTTGCCAATATCCTAAATAACTGTAGAGAATATTTGTGCCATTTACATTTTGACCGGATGGATTGGATGTTTCAAATATCTGTTGATCTAGATTGTTTCCAATTAACAAATGTCTTCTACAAAATGGGAGAAAGTTTTCGCAACCTACCCATCTGACAAAGGGCTAATATCCAGAATCTACAATGAACTCAAAACAAATTTACAAGAAAAAAACAAACAACCCCATCAAAAAGTGGGCAAAGGATATGAACAGACACTTCTCAAAAGAAGATATTTATGCAGCCAAAAAACACATGAAAAAATGCTCACCTTCACTGGCCATCAGAGAAATGCAAATCAAAACCACAATGAGATACCATCTCACACCAGTTAGAATGGCAATCATTAAAAAGTCAGGAAACAACAGGTGCTGGAGAGGATGTGGAGAAATAGGAACACTTTTACACTGTTGGTGGGACTGTAAACTAGTTCAACCATTGTGGAAGTCAGTGTGGCGATTCCTCAGGGATCTAGAACTAGAAATACCACTTGACCCAGCCATCCCATTACTGGGTATATACTCAAAGGACTATAAATCATGCTGCTATAAAGACACATGCACACGTAATTGCGGCACTATTCACAATAGCAAAGACTTGGAACCAACCCAATGATATCCAACCAACAATGATAGACTGGATTAAGAAAATGTGTCACATATACACCATGGACTACTATGCAGCCATAAAAAATGATGAGTTCATGTCCTTTGTAGGGACATGGATGAAATTGGAAATCATCATCCTCAGTAAACTATCGCAAGGACAAAAAACCAAACACTGCATGTTCTCACTCATAGTTGGGAATTGAACAATGAGAACACATGGACATAGGAAGGGGAACATCACATTCTGGGGACTGTTGTGGGGTGGGGGGAGGGGGGAGGGATAGCTTTAGGAGATATACCTAATGCTAAACGATGAGTTAATGGGTGCAGCACACCAGCATGGAACATGTATACATATGTAACTAACCTGCACATTGTGCACATGTACTCTAAAAGTATAATAATAATAAAATAAAATAAAAAAATGTTCTAACTGGAGGACTGAAGTCACTAAAGACTATTCCTCGATAATTTGAGATAGATTTCAAATTATTTTGATTATCCTTATTAAGTTTTAGGAGCTTAAAATTTAATCAATAATAATAAAGTTTAATTTTTATAGTCTCAGAGTGCTTGGCTGCTTATGTAGTAATCTGAGGGTCATCTCTTCATTAGGCCTTTTGGGAGATGCTATTTATTCATGCCAGCCTGAAATTTCATGCTCTGCTTTGAGATGAAAAGAAGCAATTCCAAGAGTTTTTGACCAAAAGCAACACAAATTCAAGTTATAAAATACCCTTGACATGTTCACTGTTCAGCACCTTGCACCAAATGTCAAGGAATTATCGATACTAATTTACTTCCTTTGCCTTTCTAATGACTATGTTTGTGGAGAATTTTGATTAAAATGTGGCTACCTGTGGCCATTTTGCTGGAAAGGGGTTTTTCAATAACCTTTGATTATTCTTTCATGTGACTTCAAGGAAGAGATATTTATGAATTGGGCAATTAAAGTAAAATTTAACATTAAGAAAAAAAAAACACAAATATCTGTTAATCTAGATTGTTTCCAATTAACAAATGTCCTGAGTTGGCCCTGAGGTGCTCTGGCTCAGGCTGATGTCACCACACATCTTTGAGTGTTGTTATGGAATGATGCTCATATGGGCAAAGAATAAACATTTATTGTGTTAAGTCACTTCAGTGGGATTTGTTTGTTACAGCATCTAACATACTATAGATGGTACATGGTGCCAAAGGGCAATATGACTATTCGGCCTGCAATATTTTTATGAAATGTGCCCAAGACTCACATTGGGACTGAAGGTGTTTCATAAGGGACCTGTACTATTTGATCCAGAACAGTAAAAAGGCCAATCGATCAACAAATAATAATAGGAAATTTATCCCTATTGGAATTCTATTCCCTTCCACCTATAGATAGTAAATAAGCCATTGTAAAATATTATACAAAAGAAGGAATACTTCTTTTGTTTTATTAAGCTTAATTCTGTACTTATACACTGGAATACCCTAATTGAGAGAGGTTCTATTAAATTCTCACTATTTGATAGCTTACATTTTATTTAGCTACAAGTAAATGCATTTAGTTTTAACAAAGTAACAGGCCTGCTTTACAATTTTAAAACGAATTCTGAATTTTGCATCAAATGGAAACTTGAATTAGCATAGGTTTAATGATACATTGTTTTTGGTTTTTATAAGCCAAATATTTTTACTTTTCAATGTTTTTGGTCTTCATGAGCATTGCATTTATAGACTTATTTTTAAACAAAGTTAAAATCCACTACATGGTGAAGATTATTTATAATATATTATGTATAATTTCTAAAGTATTTTAGTAGAATTTTGATAATTTGTAATATCACTTAGGTATCGAAAATAAACTATTTATATGTAATAGAAAATTTTTATATGCCTCCAAAGAATCTGTTATTATAAAAGCTTTCCCAAGATTCTAATTATCTATCTTTCCTAATACACTATACAATAAAATTCAATTTTCATAATTTCAACTAAAAAATAGCACTTTATTAGTAAAACTGAAATGCATTGTTAAGTTCACAAATGAGAGAAAGAACTTATAAAAATGCATGCATAATTTAAAAAAATCAATTGATATAGATTTCTCTGGCAATCAAAGGTGTAGTATGAATACTTTATTGTCTAAACCTGAAGATGTTGCAACCACTGTTTCCAAGGATGCACCACATTGTCGTGGAAACAGCGTGGGTTTCAAGTCAGAAAAACCCTGGCCTTGCAACTATACAATTTATGAACTTGGGCAAGTTATTTACCCCTCTAAGCTTGTTTCTATATTAAAAACTGAGTTCATCATCCCTACTGGATAAGGCTACTAAGAACATTAAAGTTTCCAATGTGTCACACACATTCATTAGCTTATAGATCAAAAAGTATTAATTTCCTGCCTTTGGTTTCCTCTAAAGAAATTAAGGGCAGAAGATATTTATCTTGTAAAGGCACTAATGATTGATCATATACCCAGGCAAAATAAATGTACATTTAGAATTCGGTGCATATGGAAGTCAAACACAAACTCTAGAATGTAGTTTAGCCCCAACAAGTGTGAAAATGCAGAGAAGCTAGAATGACAGAAACATGGTTTCCAGACCTACATCTCTACCAGTTAGATTTGTGAGTGTGAGAAAATGAGTGCATTTCACAGGCTCTCAGCTTTTTAAACTATAAAATGATAAAATGAAGGTGCTGAGAATGAGGATCCTCTTCTAGCACTAAAAATTTTATTTTTCCTTTTTGTTATAAGAAAGTTCTGGAAGTTCTGGGTACTGGAAAAGTTTGAATTTTTTTTTCCTAGAGAATGATAGCTTCATATTTTTCTTTTTATGCTTTCTCTTTCAATAGGCTTTTTACTCCAACATGAACTAAATCATAAACAATGCTTCATCTTACCTCACAAATTTCCTCACCTGTTTGCTCTTCAGGCTCTTTAATTGAATTCCCGATATCTCAAATTCTCTAAAGCATTGCTTTTCCAAACACTTCTACAATGTTCACTGCAAAGCTATATTTTCAAGACAATAGTACACATTCTGTATGTTTCTTCAATCCATTCCTCTCTATGGAGTTGTTCTCTACAGTTGGCTTGTTAACGTAGACCAAGTATAAACTTTTAAGACACAAACCCCTTTATAGGACTCTATATGTATATTGGAAGAAGCAGAGTATTGGATGGTAATAAGTGCATTTATAAGCATTATTTCTATAGTGAAAAAAAGGTTAGTTTGAAAGTCATTTCTCCATTCAAGAAGAACAATTTTCTCTAGTCTTCTGACTATTTATAGAAAGACCTTTACATGTGCAAACTAATTAATAAATGGGATCAATTTCAAGGTATTTTTTCTGGTTCATCACCACTTAATCATTCAATTTAAAAAACATTTTAAAGGCCAAGTCTAAAATAGATTTGCACCCACGCCCCCAGTGTGAATTTTTCATTCTTTACAACATGCAGTAGGTACTGTATAATGACCTTTTCTCTGTTTGGAACAGGGATTAGAATAATACATTTGACCCTTTAAAGTCACCTGGGAGAGATGTTAGTCTCCATGTTCAATAAACTGAAATATGTCTCAAGTGTCCCAAGGTTAAGGCCATGACTTTAAACTATTTAACACAGAGTATCATACTGATTCACTTAGACTCTCAGACTTTTAAAAAAATTATTCAGCTGAATTATATATACTTTATCAGAACAATTTTTTTCTTCATACAATTAAAGCAAATATTTTACATTGCAAATAAAGCAAGTTAACCTAGATGCATTGTGCATTATAATAAAATTTATAGCTGCATAAATAGCAGTGTAAACTTACAGAAAGACTAGTAATTATAGTGCCATTGATGGTCTTTGTTGCTTTAATTCTGAGGCAGCCAGAATGATTAAACTGAATCTTAATCGACTTCTCCATTAAAAATGCTGGCAGAGGAGCTCCTTTAACCTTTCCCATTGATTGAACACAACAATCACCATTCAATTATAATGCAAAAGGACATTTGTTATAATGTAGAAAAGATGCATGAGCCATTTCCTTTTACTCAAGACAATCAATGAGATGACTCCTACTTCTACAAAGGTGAGAATGCTCTACCTGGGAGTCTGATAGAGTCAAAACTAAACAGAAACCTCTGCATCGTGCAGAGGAGCAGGACCATACAGAAGAAAATAATCTGGAACAGATTCATTAAGAAGAAATGTATTTTCTACCACTATTTATCCTAACCACATTTATCCTTGATATGTTGTTTTTCTTCCTAGGGTTTCAGAGTACCTGCATTATCATGATCAAAAGTTTAATGGTGAATTAATGATGATGGTCACTTGGCCTTTTATATGTGTTCTCAGTGCATGCTTAATCAGACAAATCAAGGCAATAGAGGTAATTGAAGTAACTGAATTTTAGACTAGGAAGTAGTCTTCAAGATTAACTGATTTACCTAAGGTCAGACAGCTAATTGTAACTAACCCTGACTAGGATCCGGGTCCATTAATGCCCCACTCAGCATGTGTTGATTTGTCACCTCTGAAGTGTATTTCATTTTCAGTTATGCTTTTTACCTGATTCTATGCTTGTATGGAATGCGCAGGTTCTGTACTTACATCATATAACCTACAACAAAAAACAAACTATGCAAGTATAGCTATGTTGCTCTGCATACATAGTGGTGGTATATTAAATATGGCCACGGATTCCTTTCTATTCCTCCTACTGAGAAGTGGAGTATAATACTCCTCCCCTTGAATTTAAACCAACTTAGTGCTATAGTATTGTGGCAAGCCATGTCTCACTAACGCAAGCCTCCATTACAACTGTCCCAGCACTGACTGAGTAGCTAGGTTAAACGTTAAAAGCTGATTAAGCCAGTGCCCTATACAATGGCTGGAATGTAACAAAGAGCCCACAGAGAGTTTTGTCTAGGCTTTTCCTGGGCCTTGAAGCATGACAATATAATGAAGGAATTCTTAACAGAGCCCATTTAGGATTAAACAAGTTTTACTGGGGGTCTGAAGAAACTCCCCAGGCCTCCACAGACAAGTTTACTGGGGTGTAAAGAAACTCCCAAACCTTTATGATTTAGCAGGAGACAAAGGGTAATCATCCCAGCACCTAGACCCATTTAGATGAAATAAACTTACTGAGGCTCCAGCAGAAGATCTTCAGGGCTCAGACCTTAGATATAGATTAAAAGAAGTTAATCACCAATGTCTTTAGATGAATGCATACTTGCACACAGACATATAGCTTAAAAGATATATAAGCTCTGGAAAACTTTGTAATTTTGAGTTGGTCTGGTGACAATTTCCAGGCCTTCTCCCTGTAACTGGTTACAGAAATTAAAACTCTCTTCCTCCCCAGTTCATCTGCATCACGTTATTGGACCACAAGAAACAGCAGCCCGATCCTCAGTTTGGTCTGGGAACAGTATGAATTTTTGTCCCCTACAAACCTCATGTTGAAATATGATCCCTGGTGTTGGAGGTGTGACCTAATGGAAGGCATGTCATGGGGTAGGATCCCTCACAAATGACTTGGTGCTGATCCTCATAGCAATATGAGAGTTCTTGCTCTATTAGTTTCCATGACAGTAGGTTTTTTAAAAGAGCCTGGCATCTCCCCCATCTCTCTCTTGCTTCCTCTCCTATCAGGTGATTTCTGCACAGGTTTAATAGCCCTTCTCCTTCTGTCATGAGTATATGCAGTCTGAAGCCCATGCTGGTGCCTTGCTTCTTGTACAGTCTGTAGAACTCTAAGCCAAATTAGTTTATTTTTCTTATAAATTATCCAGCCTCAGTTATTCCTTTATAGAAACACTAAGACATTTAGTGACTTGAGCAGTAAAATGTGGTGGAAGTGACATTTTGGGACTTCAGATGCTGTCCTATTAAGCCTCGCAATTTTTGCCCATGATTCTTGGAACGCTTGATCTTTGCAAGGCTAACATTTTTAGATTACCCTGTTATAAGGAAGCTGAAGACATCCACATGGAACATCTGTGAGGAGACAGAGAAACCCAAACATCTCTACTGTTCAGCTATCCCAGGCCAGGAAACAGAAAAGTAAGTAAAGAAGGCATCTTGGACATGCCAGGCCAGCAGGCAGGATGTGGAGAACCACTAAGGAAAGCAACTGATATCCTGTAGACCCGAGACATATAATCTAGCCAAACCATGACAACTGACCAGATGCCCTTACAGATCTCCTCAGCTTGACAAAACTTTAGACAGCTTTCTTTCTAACTATACAGCCACTGGCTCCTTTCTTAGAACATTTACTTTAAATTGCTTGCAATTGTTGACTGTCTGCCCTTTTGAGATGTAAATCTTCCAGCCTCTTGCTGGTTTTACAACCCAGGAATGCCTTTCTCAAGGCCTGGCAGAAGCCATTTTTAAAAAATTGAATCATCAAGAAAGATAGCTCCCATCTCCTACTTTCTATCACAGGGCAGGAGCCTAACTTAGCAAATACAGATGGCCTAATCACATTGATCAACCTCCACTCTAATGTCCTCCAATACTTTTTACACTAGCTTATCCAAGCACTTAAACTCTCTGACTTTTTTGTTTCCATGGAGTTGAGTTAAATCTCTCTCCCCTATTGCAATAATCTTGAACAAAGTCTTTCTTGCCATATTAACTCTATGTGGTGTGATTTTTATTTTTATTTTTATTTATTTATTTATTTTTGAGATGGAGTCTTGCTCTGCCGCCCATGCTGGAGCGCAGTGGCACGATTTTGGCTCACTGCAAGCTCCACCTCCCAGCTTCACACCATTCTCCTGCCTCAGACTCCTGAGTAGCTGGGACTACAGGCACCCGCCACCAGGCCCGGCTAATTTTTTTTGTGTTTTTAGTAGAGACGGGGTTTTACCGTGTTGGCCAGGATGGTCTCGATCTCCTGACCTCATGATCCACCTGCCTCAGCCTCCCAAAGTGCTGGGATTACAGGCGTGAGCCACTGCGCCTGGCCGTGATTTTTATTATGACACAACCAACCCAGCTATATATATGTTTCTCTCCATCTGAGACCCCACTCATCTAGAAGTAGATGAGTGGGGTCATCTACAGGAGAAATCACTCCTGTGGTGTCTGCCCCAATTCCTGACTCACAAAATCATGAGCATGATAAGATAGGTATAGTTTTATGCCCCTAAGTTTTGGTATGGTTTGTTATGCACAGTAGATAACTGGAAACTCTCTATTTCTCAGTCTCTCTCTCTCTCTGTGTCTCTCTCTCTGTATATATACATATATATATACACACACACATATTTATATATACATACATATACACACAGTAAGTCTTCACTTAATGTCATTGATCTTAATGTCATTGACAGATTCTTGGAAACAGCAACTTTAAACAAAATGATGTACATCAGGTGCTTGAATAATGTTTTCATGCGTGTCATTTTGTTATAACATTGATGAGAAAAAAACTCTGATTTCTAATCAACATCAACACCATTTTGCTTCAAGTCGCAGTTTCTAAGAACCTACCGAAATGTTAAGTGAGGATTTATATAGATATATAAATACATACATATATATACATACATACGTATATCTACATTTATCTCATATCTATATAATGTATTGATACAATCTATATTGATATATCATGTAGATGTCATTCATAAGCATACATTTCTAAATGCATTCAGTGGGGGCTAGAAGCCCAAAATTTATGTTACTAATTTACTTTGGAGCATGCACTGGAGGTTCAATGCATTTGGTTACTTAGGAGAACATGTACATCTTTACCTCAACTACATTGAATATGTGTCAAATCACTAAAACTAAAACCTTATTAGATGCATAATTATTTTGTAGGCACCTAAGCAACTGTTTACATGTAGCCAGCCCCAAATTCCCAGAACCCTCTTTCAAAAGTGAGCTTGAATGTACAACTATTAGAAATAAGTATTTTTAAAAGTAAATAAGACTACTTGAAATAGTCTATTAAAATAATAAAAGACAATAAAAAGTAAGACAAAAAAAGCAATATTTTCTCTGTAAATGACCTAAATTTGAAATGACCATCTTTTTAAAATAAGAGCAAACAAGTTTCAAATTTTAGGTTCAAAAGAGTAAATAATTGTTCAAGGTTCTAATGATACTTTCAAGAAAGGCATAATTCATTAGATTAAAATCATTTTGCTGTATTTCCAAGTTAACATGTACACTTTTGTGGGAAAAAAACACCATTTCTAAGTGAAGGAAAACTTAGAATATCTCTAAAACTGGCTTGACTCGACTACAGTGACCAGTTACTTCTGAGAAACTTGTTATGCATGGAGTCAGTTTTAATATTCGTGTTTGTCAACCAAGCCCTTTCAAGGGCATATCCGGAGGTCTCCTTAATGTCTAGCTCCACTATACTACTTGTGATGGGAAAAAACTTTCACAATCTATAATTTGAGTGTAAGGTCAAAGTATTTCTTCTCAGGACATTTTTGCTAAATCTTCTTCCTTATTATAGAAAATTAAAACATTTATGTATAAACCTCTAAAGTGTGTGTTTTATTGACTTATTTTTCATCTACTACATGGTTATATTCTACCTTATTAATAATTTTCCAGGTCATAAAATAAAAGCTGCTGTTTTATACTATTTTTTGAAAATATGTTGCCAATAGTGTATATACTTCACATATGTGTTTTGGGGAAGCAAGTGCCATAAAAAGAATACCCCAGTCCTGTTATCATGGTGGGCCACCAGTATAGCAGCTCTGAAATGGCTGGGATTATTAAAATGAATGTTTGAAGAAGGAACACAGAGCAGATTAAGTACTTGGGTTGACTCAGGGTAGGTTTGGAACTTCTCAAGGCAGGTTCTGGGCATAGAGACTTCAAGGCAGTATTCTGGCAAGTCGGAGATGAATTGATAAATTCTTCTCTTGGGCTGAAGGATTTACCCCCACGCTTAGGAAACAGGGCAAGCTTTGTCTCATAAATATGTTTTGATTGTATCACTTGTTGAGCAGAAAGCTTTGATGAGTGATTGCCTCAAGAATTTAAGTTCTTCCAAAGTCAACCTACTTGCATCACTTTTCACTGATGATGACTGTGAAGAAACGGATAGGTTCCTTAGTGATAGCATTGTGCCCTTGGACTCTCTCTGTTACTTAGTTTTATAATATGTCCTAGAATTTATACATTCTGGTTATGCCAACTTACCATGTGCCTTTCTTTATACTGATAGAATGACAGCAGTAATAGGGGAAAGGATTTAGATTAGGGTTTAAACAACTTTTTGATTATCGAGTTAAACAATTGTTTTAAAAATGTATTGGAATTTCTTTTGCTGAAAGGGTTTGTTTGGGTTAACTCTTTCCTAAGGGAATTTAAGTGACTCAAAGAACATATACTTCAGCATTTGCCATAGGCACGTAAAAATAAATCCCAGCCAGACCAAAGACAGAGTGTACTTTGGATTCCAAGTGACTATCTTGGTCACCAGGAAGCTGGCCTTAGAGTTTAAGAATATGATTCCTAGAACTTGCTGACAACTTGAAAATAATCTTTTTAGAAAGCACTTATATTTCAAATGTATTTGTAAATATACATTTTAAAATAAATGATCACTTTTGCATTTTGTTTGGTTTTGATTAATTATTGTCATTTTCCCTGAATTCAAACTTCCTTATATGCAGGTTTAATTTCTTGATACATTAGGTACATGTGGAAGCTGTGATGTCTTGGATCTAAGAGAGTATTGATAAAGTTAACTTTGCACATTTACACATTCATTTATTAAACCAATATTTAGTCAGGAAGGGCTAGGTCCAAGAATAGCAATGAATCATCAGTTGAAACAGAGTAGGGCACAAAAGGAATAAATAATATGGAGAGGAAAATAAAATAAAAACCTCTACCAGAGATCGGAAACTTTCCTTAGGGAAAGTAACTTAGGAAACGAGTAAGTGATTCATGAGAATGAAGTGGAGGAGTTTGCTAAGTGAATTCCTAGATTGGGGATAGTGAGGGTAAATGTCTGTTGGGGATGATAAACAAAAAGTCTTATTTTGTAAAATGAATTAAGAAGGTTTACGTATTTTTCTATTCTACAAAAACTTTTATACTCAAAAATTTTTCTTGAAAAATTTAAAGAACTTGCCCATCTGTAAATCTGAGCTGAAATTTTAAAAGCACACATCAGAGGAAGGGGCCAGACCTACTGGAGCAGGGTTTTTTGCAAGAAACGCAGGGAGACAAAGGAGAAGCAGCATTTAGGCCCCCTTTGCCCAGTATATTCTAGGTTAGCACCAGAAATATATATGGGTCAGAGCCAACCTTAGGCAACAGGGTCCTTATATTATTTGATTAAGGAAGTTTTGCCCTGCCCCTTGCATGATCAAGAGCTGGTGTATGGAAACAAGCCAGGCAAGAACCTTACCTGGATGCCATCCTGCCAGCTCAGCATTTGGGTTTGGGGAAGAGGCTAGCCTTTCCCCTGGCTTGATCAGATGCCTGGGATTCTAACTGTGTGTTCACAGTTGTGGGGAGAGGCAAGCTATTGACAGGAGTCACATATTTGTTCGTGATTGTTGTCAGCAATCCTGCCTGGCATGATGGAGACAGAGGGCTGGATTCTAAGCCTTGCCTTTGGTGAGTTGTATTATCACAACAACTCTGGGACAAATTCTTCTTTCAAAGGCCAGCCCTCAACAGATCAGTCTTGGACAGCTTAACCTGGGCTCTCAGAATTAATTGGAAAAAACGTTCTGAGGTCAAAAATGCTGGAATGCATTAAAGTGGGATTTTACTACAGAATTTTATAAAGCTCTGATTTGCTCATATGAGGACCAATTTTAAAAGACGGAGGTATAATATTGAGAGTTTCCCAAATTATCTTGGATGTTCACCTATTCACCTAGCACATGCCCTCTTTTGTGGCAATCTCTTGGAATTAGTGTTAAACAAAATTTATGTAACGCCACTTTATATCTATATAGATATTCATGGTTATATTTGTATTTCAGACTATACTAAACTCTTCAGCATTTAAGTGTGTACCTTCTATGTTCCATTTAATGGTTTATGGCTCTTAAGTATTTATCTCTTTCTTTGAGTTGTTGTAAATGGCATTATATTCTAATTTCAGTGTCCCTGTATTTGTTGCTAGTATATATAAATGCAACGGAGTTTTGTATGTTTACTTTACAAGTTGCTTAACTCACTTATTAGTTCTAAGATATTTTTGGAGATTTCTTGGGAATTTCTAGATGTCATGTGCAAGTAGGAACAGTTTCATCTCTTCCTTTTTGATCTGAATACATTTTCTACCCCTTATCTTGCTTTATTGCAGTGGCTAGATCATCTAGCAACATACTGAATAAGAGCTGTGAGAGTGGATATCCCTGCCTTGTTATAATTTTTGTTTCAGCTGTTAAACATAATTTAGAAACTCAAGAGAAGGAAGCCTATTGCATTTACTCAAATTTTTCTTTTCCTTCCTAAAGTTCCAAGATTCCATCCTTTATTGTTTTCTTTTGCTTAGAAAATTTACTTTTGCCATTTTTTAGGGTATGTTTTGGGATGTCAACCTATTTTACTATTATTCATTTATGAGTGTCTTGATTTCCCCTTCATTCCCAAAGGATGTATTTTACTAGATATAGGATTCTGGGTGACAGTTTTTTTTGTTTTGTTTTGTTTCAGTAGTTTAAAAATGTTTTGCCACTTTCTTCTGGCCTCCATGGGTTTGAATGAGAAATTTGCTGTCATTCCAATTGTTTTTCTTCCTTAGATAAAGTATCTCTTTTCTCCTGGTGCTTTTGAGAAGTTTTTCTTTATTTTGGGTTTTTCAAAAGTTTCATTAAGCTGTTTCTTGATGTGAATTTCTTTAAGTTTATCTTGTTTTGGGTTCATTCAATATCTTAAATATGTAGCTTTATGGCTTTTGTCAAACTTAGGAAGTTTTTAGCCACTATTTTTTTCTTCTATTTTTTCAGCCCTGCACTTTTTTTCTCCTACGAAATTCTAAAGACATAAATGTCATATCTTTTGTTAGAGTTCCACAGATTTCTGAGTCGCTGTTCAATTTTTTTTCGGTCTATTTTTTTCTCTCTCTTGTTGAGATTGGGTGATATCTACTGTTTAATCTTCAAGTTCACTGATTTCTTTTCCCTATTACCTTCATTCTGCTCTTAAGCCCATCCATTAAACCATTTGGATCTCTCTCTTAGCTTAGACTTTCTATTTCTTTGTTCAGGCTT
Source organism: Homo sapiens (assembly GCF_000001405.40). Lineage (NCBI taxonomy): Eukaryota > Metazoa > Chordata > Mammalia > Primates > Hominidae > Homo > Homo sapiens. Next base: position 72,129,009 of record NC_000013.11, read on the forward strand.
TCTATTTTTTCATTTAAGAATGCTCGCAGTTGATTGTTGATGTATATTTATCTTGGCTGTTTAAAAATCTTTGTCAGATAACTCTAAATTTCTATCATCTTGCTATTGGCATCAATTGTCTTTTTACTCAATTTGAAACTTCCTCATTTCTTTGTATGATACATAATCTCCTGAAACCGGAGCATTTTCATACTATATTATGAGTCTCTGGATCTTATCTTGACTTTCTGTTACTTCTCTGGCAAGGAAAGGGTGGGGTGCTACATCTTTACAGCCAGGTGGAAGTAGAGGTATAGGCTTCTCGCCCTCCATTGACACCCAAGTGGGAATCCCCCTCATTATTGTTTTATGTGTGAGTTACAGCTTCCACGTGATCTTTACTGACATCAGTGGATATGACCTCATACCACTGGATGACAATGAAAGTTCTTACTCTCCAGTAGGCCTCCTCCCATATGACCCCCAGGGAGGAGAAGGCTATCTGTTTACTGTTACACAGGGGGTGGATCTTCAAGATCCACATGTAGTCTATACTGACACCATAATAGGGGCCTCATTCCCAGTTAGCAGAAATGAAGTTCCCGAAAGCTGACTTGGTCTTCTCTTATACAACCCTGGCTCGGGTATCAGGGTGCCTCATTACTACCTCCTGAGTGTGAAAGTCTAGACTTTTCACTTGGCCTTTGCTGGTGTGGGTATGAGTTGGCCACAGTTTTCTCTATGGTGTTTAGCTGGCAGAGAAGTTATGAACAAAATGTTTTCTTTCTAGACTGCCCCTTGCCTTGTACTTTAGCTAGGAAGAGCAGACATTAACTGTTTTCTTTTTTATTTTTTTCCAAAAAAATCTACATCCACCTTTTTTTCTGGATTAGTGGCTTTCACCAAGCTTGGATTATATGAGCAGAAAGAAGACCCAGAAAACTAATCACTACGTCATTCCTAGCCATTCCGCCTTCTTACTATATTTCAGGGTCTCTTTAAATTAGTTCTACAAACCGGGTGCAGTGGTTCATGCCTATAATCTCAGCACTTTGGGAGGTCAAGGCAGTGACTCAATTGAGGTCAGGAGTTCAAGACCAGCCTTAGCAACATGATGAAACCCCATCTCTACTAAAAATACAAAAATTAGCTGGACATGGTGGCACGTGCCTGTAGTCCCAGGTACTTGGGAGACTAAGACAAGAGAATCACTTGAACCCAGGAGGCAAAGTCTGCAGTGACCTGAGATTGCACCACTGCACTCCAGCCTGGGTGACAGAATGAGATTCCATCTCAAAAGATAAATAAATACATAAGTAAATAATAAAAAAATTTTGAAAAATTGTTCTACATATAATTTCCAGAGTTTTTAGTTGTGCTTAGCAGAGGAATAGGGAAAATCACATTGACTTCATCTTCCTAGAAGCAGAAGTCCAGTGATTCCTTTTAATAAAACAATTTTGCGAATTTTTACTTATTATAATATATCATTTTACATTTTTGATAATATTTAATGCTTTATTCTGTATTTCTATACTATTTTAATATTTCTTAGACAACATGTACTATGTTTTCTTTGATTATTTTCTCTAAGTAATGAAAGGTATACTTTTCTAACACTTGTATTAATGTTTAACAGTGTGTTTTTATAAAAACATAAATAGAACTAAGCTGCGTAAAAACTCTAAAAGAGGTATACTAAAGAAGAAATGGTATGACATTACTGCAAGTTCTTAAGGAGAAAATGAGTCGGTGGATGTCTCAAACCTCCTCAGTGGTTTTGGCTGTATTGCTCTGCCTAGATAATGCCTTTCATGATCCTTGTTTAGTATTTGTATTTCTTGATCTATGGTTAGAGTCACTTATTGGGTCACACAATAAAGTGATAAACCAATAAATTATAAAATAATCTCTATATAAGTGATTAATGATATGAAAAAAATTGAGGTGGTTTGAGGGAGAAAGAAAATTCCAGGGAAAGATGACAGAAAGTGGTTAAAATAAACCTGAAGGTTAGAATAAGCATAATAAGGAAGGTGGCATTCAAGCAGACTTGAAGGAGGCAAAGGAATAAGTCAACGGATATCTTGGAGAAGACCATTCTAAGACTGGGGAATAGCTAGAGCAAAAGCCCTAAGTGGGGAGGATATTTGGCATATTCAAGAAACATCAGCTAGGCCAGCATAATTGGAATATAGTGATTGACGAAGTCATACAAATGACATAAGAGAAGTAATAAGGGGGTCACCGAGACATGTGGGACCCTATATGTTATTGCAGACCAAAGCCATTTCAAGGTTTTGAGCAGAAACATGACATGATTTGACTTATGTTTTAACAGGCTCACTCTGTTTGCTCTGTTAGGATTACACTGGAGGGAATCTATGAGAAAAATGGGAAGACTTATCTGGAGGCAGAGGGTGATGAAATTTCCATTTCCTATCAGTTAGAAATTGCATGCAATTTTGAGGGAAAAGAACTTAAAGTAAGTGTTAAAATATAAATGTATATATTCTTTCACATTTAGAAAATTCTGTATCATTCCATCTAAAGCTGGCCTGGTGGATCCATGTTCATCAGGGAATCAGGGTCTTTCTCACCTTTTGCTTTTCCATAACGATCCAAGATACCTACTGGTACTCACCTATTTATTCCAGGTAGAATAAATTCAGACCTAGAATTGCAAGGCTAAAATAAAGAAGAAAAGAAGAACAAAGGGCTCATACCCACTCCCTAGGAAGTTTTCCTAACATTCCTTTAAGAGTTTCAATGACATTTCATCGATTATTTCTACCTAAAAGGGAGCCTAGGTAACTTGTCCCTTTAGCTGAACAAATTGCCTATGGTTTTGTTTCTAAGGAAAAAGGGGAAGAATGGGTATTAGGAGGCAACTACTGGTTTCTGCCACATAGTGTGATTTATAACCACGTTAGCACTATCTTTTAGAAATTCTCTATTTACATGGTTTCAAGTTTATAGTTCTGCTACAAATGAAATCCCTAAAGATTATCCTATCTGGAATGCTCTCAAGAGCTGCTTGAAAGTTCTTTCACATTTTGGTAGATGGAAAAATGAGGTTGGGTGCAATGGCTCATACCTATAATCCCAGCACTTTGGGAGGCAGAAGTAGGGGATCGTTTTGAGCCCAGAAGTTCAACACCTTGGACAACAGTGAGGCTTTATCTCTAAAAAAAAAAAAAAAGCCAAGTATGATGACACTTAGCTGTGGTCCTAGATACCCATGAGCCTGAGGCAGGAGGATTGCTTGAGTCCAAGAGGTCAAAGCTGCAGTGAGCTGTGATCACACCACTGCATTCCAGCTTGGGCAACAGAGCAAGGCCGTTTCTAACAACAACAACAACAACAACAAAAACTCTACAAAGAAAGAAAGAAAGGAAAGAAAGAAGGAAACATGACATCAGTTCCTCAACACTTCCTGCACTAAAACCCTTTGCCAAATAACTCTAAACTGTAACTTTCTAGTGACTGTCCCCTTGGACTCCGAGCAAGACCATGCCAGTTGCCCAGCTTCAAAAACTCTTCTCTTTGGCTCTTCTGTTATAAGAACTTGCTCAAGCTAGCCTGCTGAAGGATAAAAGAAACATGGAACAGAGTCCAGTTACCCCAGTCCTCTGAGAGAAGGCCAGCTTAGATAGGCCAATAGTCTATCTGCAAGTTCTTAAGGAGAAAATGAAACAGTGGATCCCCAAAGAGGTGAACAAGCTCAGCCAAGATCAAGAGATCCAATAGCCTAACAGGCTCCCATTTGATCCCAGACACCTGAACAACAGCACTTATTTTTGCTTATCACTGAGCTTTTGAGGTTGTTACTAGGCATTATTGTGGCAATTGATACCTGATACACATGGGGTTGGTATTATTCCCATATTTCCAGTAATGAAACAAATTTATCCTTTGTGAAGTATGTATTTGGTTATATCAATTGGTGAAGTTTGATATATTTGTTCAAGTTTTTTTCCCAAAAATAATAATGTACATTTATATGGATTCTCACACTATACCTGCAAATACACATCTGTGTATGCATACTTGCTTTCTACATATAATGAAACAGAATTATATTATTCTTTATATAGTTGGGTATCTGTCACATTGTCTGTGTAAATATACACAGGTTATCAGTTAAGTTTCTTATAGCCTTTCTTGTGGTCTGTGAAACGGTAGGTTTTCCTTTTCTGCATCTACAAAAATAAAGGTCATCTGAAAAATCCCATGTTGTTAAAATGAGAAATATATATATATATATATATATATATATATGAATGATACATGTTCCATATTGGGAACTTCAGAATATATAGTATAATTTAAAGGTAATTGCAAATGAGATTTTTTTCAATTCAATATAGCACTATTACTAACAAAAATTGAATTGCATACATCTGCATAGAAACAGTACAAATTCCTTTAGGATTTTATGAAAAAAAATGTTGTGGCGGGGAGCTGTTTAGGAAAAACCTGCGTATGATATGTAAAATGCTGGGCAGCTTTCTTCTTTTGAGTTTTGAAACTTCTGATACTCTTCCTTTTTGCTTTTGGGTTCAATAGATTAAAAGGCACTTGGTCATTAAATACCTTTGAAGATAGTTATCTGCAAATTTGACTTTGGGGTACAAATATACGGGAACAATTTGTAACCTGGGAAAGTGGTAGTATGAAAGAGTAATATTTGAACAAGAATTGCTTGAGGAAGTATTTCCTACTTTTGACAGGCATCAATAGCAGATGGTGAGACCTACTGGGAAATAAGTGCAAGTATTGAGAGAGGGAATACTGTATAGTTGCAAATATAAGATCTGATGCAGCAGAAATCTCTCTCTGGAAACTGAAGTTAAATTGCCCATTAATGTTTTATAAACACTTTTTCTAATGGAAGAGCTAAAAATTAATCAGAAAAGAAGAGGTATTTTGGATAGCAAGATTTGTGCAGAAATTTCTTAGGGTTTTCTGGAAGCAATAGGCTAGCTCTTTAGATTGTGTAAAATGTGCAATGGGGACAACACAACTTTTAAATTATTTTTTGGAGTTTAAGTTGTTTGAATGTAGCATTGAGTAAAATGTGTGAATGTTGCATTAGAAAAAAAAGACAGCAAATGTTTAGAAGAATAGAATTGAAGTTTACTTTTTCTAAATGATTATATACTGTTTAAAAAGTTTTCTATCACATGTCATAATTTCATTCTTAATATATGAAAAATAAATTTGTTCAAAAATCAAGATTTTTAAAATACACATAAAATTAATTTTAAAATAATGTAAAAATATGTGAATTAACTTTTCATTGAGAATCTAATAATCCAAACACCTTCTCATAGTCACACAAAGATACACCTACACACACATACACAAACACACACATGCCAAATATATAACCATTTTACTTAATTTTTTACTATATTAAAGTTGTTTCTACAATTGGAAGGTGTTTGCCATAATTTTATTTAAATGACTGAGTATGAATTTATTAAGCACCTTATTTTAGGACACAAAATCTAGCTACTACCAATATCCTGAAATACATGTGACTGACTAGCCTTATTGAGTAGAACATTTGGTTTAAACACATAAAACAATTAAATGTTTAAAATAAATCAGCGAGAATATGTTTGATAGCCAATATATAACTGAAGTTATAATCTAACAAATATTTCTCCTTATGATCAAGCATCTGCCCTTATGTACGATCATTTTCTGTGAAACAGAAGAATTCACATGTCATGTTTACTGAAACTTGAGATCTACAGGAAAAAGGAGGAAGACAGAGAATCTTTACATATAAAAACAGATATACAAAATTAACATAAACATCTAAATATGGGCTGAATCATGATCCCCAAAATTTATATGATGAAGTTGTAACTCCAGTACTTCTGAATGTGACTGTATTTGAAGATAAGGTCTTTGAAGAAGTAATTAAGTTTAAATAGGGGTAATTAAGGTGGGCCCTAATCTGATATGGCTGGTGTCCCTGTAAGAAGAGGAGTTCAGGACACAGAGGGAAGCATAGGCCAAAGATGGCCTTGTCCAGCCTAGAAGAGAGGTCTCAGGAGAAACCAGCCCTGCTAACCCTTTATCTATTTCAGGCTTCTAGCCTCCAGAATTGTGGGAAAATTAATTTCTGTTGTTGAAATTAATTTCTGTGGTACTTTGATATGTTAGCCCAAGAAAACGATACAAATATATACTATAGAAAAAAATAAAATTATTTAAACATAAGAAAGCCAGTTCTTTGTTATTGTCATAATAGATGTCTTAGAAAAAGCTATGCTTCCTTTTATGTAATTTTCCAAATGGTGTTATTTTTGGGACACAACCACTTCTGCTATGAAATTTCTCTACATTTTGTATGTAAATTATTTATCCTCCATCTTCTTCTCTCCACCCAGGCTCACTCTCTTCTTTCTATTTTGCAGCAAGGATGTCTCATTATCAAAAATGTATGCTACGGTTAAGCCTAAACGGAGGCAAGTACACGAATATGTTAGACTTAAAAATCTTTCCATGTTTCCTAAAACTCTCTCTGAGGGAATTTCTCCTTTCTTAATAAGTCAGTTGTTTTTGTTTAACCACTAATTTCTCTTTCTAAGCATAAGGGTATATGTGACACAGATGATGACATTTTATGGGAAGATATTTTACTAATAATTGAGAAATATTACATCAGCCAAAAATAGCAAACATCCAGGTGAGTATTACTTTATATTTGTAGAAAAACTAAAGCATTTGTCTTGAAGTATCATTATTATACCGTAAAGACTAATTTTTAGTTACATTATTTTTAAAATAAGTCACCAAATACTACTGTATTATACCTCTATTAAAACATAATTCAGTTTTTAGTGACTATAAGGCCTTAGTAAAATATATATACTATATATATATAATATAGATATACTATATATACTATATATATTGTGTGTGTGTGTGTGTGTGTATATATATATATACATATACACTATATGTATTTCCCACACTATATTTGTCAAGCATCAGGGTCTTCCTATATTAATTTATTTAGCCAGTACATACTGGCCTGTTGACAATCATCCTCTGACAGGTGTAAGGTAGATTTTGTATTGGGTATCTAAGCCTTAGTCCACAGTATAAGATAAACTATTATTCAAACCACTTTCAAAGAAAGACAAGCTTCAGATGAAATGGGAGCCCTGGAAGCTGAATCTGGCTGAATTTTTTTATCTTTCTGAAAACTTTTTCACCTAAGAGGTTGTAGGAGTCATAAAATTTCTTGCGACAGGCATTTAGGAAGTTCAGGATGCTGATGACTGTACTCTGGAAGCATTCACATAAACACAAAAGACATGTAAATTGTAGACCATTTGGAAAAGTCAGCACAAAGGTAAAGACTGAAAATTAACCTGAAGATAGATCTACCTGCACTAGGGGAATCCGATAACAATCAAAGATCTTCATTGATGATTCAGAGCTAAGTTTCTCCCAGATTCTGCTCTCTCAGCAGTATACTGTCAAAACCAGTCGACTAATAAAAGCAGGTCAGAAAAACAATTATTTGCAGAGCTAAGAGGCTCAAAACTGCAATTCTACATCTTCAAGTTCTAGCCCAAGTCAGATGTTGGTTTAAACTTTAGACATATATATATATATATATATTAGAACTCAAAGCATGTCAAAGAATTCTGGAAAGAATTTAAAAATTAAGTTGGTGATTGTTCTAAAACAGTATTTAAAAAAAGAAAGCAAAAAGAGAGATTATTTAGAAGGAGAGAAACTATTGCAGATACAGGATCCTGTTGGTTACAAAAAAAAAAAAAAAAAAAAGCTACCAATTCAACCGGGGGAAAAATCTTGGTTAAATCAGTTGCTTGGTCTTGTATAGACAAAACTGAGAATTTCTTATTGAATCCAAACTCATTGTTTGATTCTCTGATAGTTTGTACACATGGAGCATGTTACCATTGAGAGTATGGATCCAAAGATAAACTACATTGGTTCAAATCTCAGCACTTGCTGTCTACGTACTTTTGGAAATTTAGCCTGGGGCTCAGTTTCTTCATCTACTAAAGGAGAAGCTAATTACACCTCCTTAAAGTCTCGGGGAATTAGATGATCAATGCATGTAATATACTTCACAGAGAGCCTGGAATAAGTAAATACTTAATCAGTGATAACTATTATTATTTAACAGTCCAACAAATATTCAATTCATACATGAAGTAGATAATAACAAAATCCTCCAATGTAAAAATATATCTTAAAAGTAAAAGATGTTTAGGCTTAAGGTATATATTTGGCATTATAAAATGGCTTAAACAGACTTAGGATTTTTCATGCCTGGCCTCATAATGACAAAATATCCTTCTGAAATGCCCAGATTAAGAATTAAGAAAGTAGTTCTACACCAGGCAAGGCATTTAAAAAAGACAGAAACATTTTCTATATCACTATTCTTGGAAGAAATAATTTTCATGGCCAATAAAATTAGGTATATTTTCCCCCAGTTTGCAAAACGTCTCATAATTTATGTGCTGTTGAAATTCTATGAGTTTTTAATTTTAGTGATGGTATACTTTATTCTATAATTAATTGATTCTTTCTCAAATTTTCTCTTCTTTCCCCATTGGTCCTGTTCTGTTACTTTGGATATTATATAAGTTTTACTCCCTGTTCTCAAAATATTTGAAATACAAAGAAAGAAAAAAAAGAAAACCAGTGTTTTGTTTTCTCATCAGCATACCAACTCTCAGCATTCCCAGCCTGGGATGTGTGTGTGTGTGTGTGTGTGTGTGTGTGTGTGTGTGTGTGTGTGTGTGTGTGTAGAAAGAGACAGAGACAGACACAGAGAGAGAGAGAGAGAGAAAGTATTTAGTGATTTTTAAAAAGCACTGGGAGAACTATCCAATGTTTTTTACTCTAAGAAAAATTTAGAACAGCTGTGGAGGCTGGGATCCCAGGGAAAATGAGGTAAGATTCCAGGTGCTGTCTTTGGCTGCCAGTTCTGTAAAACAGTATTGTATTAAGATAAATAAATAGATAGATAAATAAACACTGCTCTTTTAATTACCAAGGAGGCGGGTTTTGGAAAAGATGTGCCAAGTCACATATGAGTGCCTATGCAACCCAGATTTTAATTTCCTAATCCGTGTCCGTCTGTGTGGTGGGTTCCTGCCAGAGGCTGTTCAAACTGTCCTGGGCATAATTGCAGCAGGAGAATCTGAGGAACTGTAATGTAGGATTACCTTGCCCTTTCTTTCTTTTCCTTATTTTCCTTCAAGACTTTTAAGAGCAATTTGGTAAAAATGGTGTTTAAAATTAATTTCTTAGCACTATTCATCGAGTCATCTTTATTTCAGCGTCATCGTTTCTGGGTTTATCAAAACAACTCTGGATTAAAATACAAGGATCCATACTTTTGCAGAGCCCATTTCACTCTGTGAGCAAATCAGCATGTATTTATGGCACAGGTATATAATGGAAAACAAGTCTTTAACATTAAAAAATATGGAAACTGAGGATGCTGAAATCAAATCGTCAGGTATACAAGGCCACAGAGGGGGCAAAGTGCTCTTGTCTTTTGTGGCTTCAAGCACAATCCTAGAAATTTTTTTTGGTTACCATTGGGAGCATGGCTGGGAATCAAGTCATGATATAAAGGAATGCTGGGTGTGAAGACCCAGTTTTAGTTGAACAATCGTAAGTTTATGTAGAAAATAATAGATCAAATTTCTCCAGAAACAATCAACTGCCTGAAAGCTGGGGCAGAAAAATAGTGTTGTGGTCAAACAGGCAGGGGCCAGTATAAAGTTAAGGGAGCAAGGGCCATACAAGGGCCCCATGGATAAAGATAGAAGCTTCTTGGGAGGACTGGCCGTGAGTCAGTAAAGGTAAGGAAAGCAAGGATGCAGAGGAGGGTGATGATCTCCAAGATTCTAGGACATAGGTGGAAGACTAGCAGTCAGGAAAGAATAGCATTTTAAAAAATAAAGTATTTGGAGAATTCAGAGGAGGGGCTATTTTGAAATTTAATATCTTGGAAATGATTGTGAATTATGATGACGTCAAGACTATGGGTCTGGCCAGCAACTCCTACTACAGAGTAGAAGTGAGGGGGCTCAAGTTAAGGAGATGAAGGGAAAGTGAGGCCCAGGTGCTGAATATTTTGTCTATAGAGAAGATGGTGTTGGAGGGAGAAGTGGAGAGAAAGACCGTGACCCAGGCCCTACAACTATGTAAGACATTGCAGACTCATACCAAGATCCTTGTACTTAGCCACAATGAGGGCCAGGAAAGAACATTGTGAAGGGATCATATGAACTTTCAGGGATAACGCTAGAGGAATCATGATCAATAACTAGCAGCAACCCTATCAGCTTTCAGACACTTCCTTCTTTGCCTCCCTCTGCCACTGCCCTCTCTCCTAACAGTCCAAAGTTCTTGACAACAGAGTTGATTCATTAAATAAGGTGACACATGAATAAACCTTCTCACCAAAAGGAGTTGTTCAAAAGAAGCTACATTACCTGGCAAGATAGCAACTATCATATTTAGATTGCCTTTTATCCTCCTCATGTTCACTCTCAAATTAGCTGATTTTCAGTTTGGGAAATTCTGAGATCCCAGATTCAAAGGAATGAGATATTGGGGTTTGGCGTGGGAGGGCTACAAAGGTGAAAGCATCAAAAGCTTGGTGGGCATTTATATTAATTTCCTTGGGCTGTCCTAACAAAGTATCACACACTGGGTGGCCTAGAACAACAGTAATGTATTCTCTCACAGTTCTGAAGACTAGAAGTCCAAAATCAAGTTGCCAGCAGGGCATAGTCCCTCAGACACTCTGAGCAGAATCCTTCCTTGACCATTCCTAGCTTCTGGTAGTGGCTGTCAATCTGTGGCATTCTTTGTCTTTCAGCTGCTTCACTGCAATCTCTGCCTCTGCTATCACATAGCATTCTTCCTGCATGTCTCTGTGTCTGCATCCAAGTTCCCCTCTTCGTATAAAGACACTAGTCATATTGGCTTAGGGGCCTAATCTTCTCCATTATGTCCTCATCTTAACTACTTACATCTCCAACAACCCTATTTTCACATAAGGTCACATTCTTAGGTCCTGGGGCTAGGACTTCAGCATGTCTTTTTGGGGGACACAATTCAACTCACAGCATCTTAGGAGACAATTCAAAAGCTAGACTGGGGAGCCAGGGTAGGGTGTTGGGAAGAGAGAGGGTGTCAAAGCATGCCGTAGTTCCTGAATAATGGAGCATCACAAATTAACACCCAAAGTTTGGAACTGACAAATGCTACTAAAGCAGTAGGATGCTGAAAGTAGGATTGCTGGGGGGAGAGGTGAGTACTATAACCAAAACTCAAGTCAGATAAAGAGGAGGAAGGGGTAAGAAAACTTTGCATGCGTTAACTAGGAATAGGCATATTTTATTTAATTTTAGCAAACACATCAACCTTAGATCATTGAGTGTCAGGGAATACATATTTGGGTTTAGTCAATTGTGATATTCATTGATTGATCAATAAGTATTTTTGTTTGTTAATCTTTAGGTGTTAGTCAAGTGACACAGCCTGGTGGTTAAGGACAGGCTCTAGGGCCAGGTTGCTTGGCTTGGAAAACTATCCCATTCCCTATCAGCTGTGAGACCTTAGGTAGATTATATAACTTTCTTATGTCTCAGTTTTCTTATCTGTAAAATGAGTACCTATTTCGTAGGGTCACTGTGAAGACTAAATGAGCCAATCTGTTCTGTGTCTGGCACATAGAAAGTGCTCAAAATATAATAATTATATTTTGTGTTAGTTTATGGAGTATCTCATTTTTAAAATAAAATTCTTGAGTTAAATTAAATATAAACATGAAGAATATAAATTTCTGAGTTTTATTTTGGCTTAAAGTCTCTTTTGTTTAACTTTTTATGTAGTATGTCTGCTTTTTTTCTTAATGGGAAAATATTTTTTGCATAGGTTTGAAAGAAACTACTAAACTATTTTATTATATAGCTTCTTCATCTGAAACTAGAATATAACACTTATTAAAATATAATTGTTAATTAACTCTTTTGCATACTTAAAAAGCTGTGTTTTTTATATCATTTAAGTATTGTGGGTGATGAAAATAGTAGTAATTAGATAATATTGTTCACTTAGTAAGTGCTGCTCTACCAAGCACATTCTATACATTTTTGGCATTTCATCTATAAAACAGCCCCATTAAGCATAAGAAAGCATTTCTTTCTCTCTCTGTCTTTTAAATGAGATCAGTGAAGCACAGAGTGGTTAGGTAATTTGTCCAAGGTAACACAGCTATAAAATAGTTCAGTGAGAATGCAAACCACATTTATCTGATAATAAAGTCTGAGCTCTTAATTAATTTGTTTCCTCTAAGCCCAGATTCTGGGCTCCATTTTAATATATATAGATTTTTTTAAAGATAAAATACATAGTAATAAAATTATTTATAAAATATATCCTTTTCTTAATTTAATAACCAGATGACTAGAGGGCTAAAATATGTTTTGTAAGCATAATTTATTTCTAGTATTTCTAGAAATGGCATTAAATAAAATTACTAGTTCCTCAGTAATGTTTGCTCATTTTCTAAAAAGTTATTTCCTTTCAGAAACATAAAAAAAAGTAAATGGCAATGCAAAACTCTATTCCTATTTTCTTACTAAGTAAAGGCTTTAGAAAAAATTTCCAACTTTTCTTTGCAAACTTTTCACTTCCGCAGTGTTTTCTATCTCAACAACAATGAAGCAACATCCTTGAACCCCTCTGTCACCTCTTCACTGCTATGGATTTGTTTAGAATCGCTCTCTACCTCTGTCTCTAAGCATACACTGATTAAAATGTTTTAATTAAAAGTATGACTACTATAGAAAAATTATTGAGCAATTCTTCAGGATAAAAATGCTTAGTGTTGGAAGCCTAATTCTACTGTTCATGTTCATACTGAGCAATATTTTCTAAAAGGTTCACTTCTGTGTTGTGTAATATTGGATGTAGTCCCAACAGCTAGAAGGTATTGTTTCTAAAACAAGGCCAAGCAAGCATAAAAGTTTGTACGATGATACAGATTTGATTAGCTCTTAAGCAAAACAAGTTCAGCCAGGCTGGTTTGAGCAGTCATTCTATACTGAATCCTATAACTTTCTACCACTGCCATCCTTCTGAGAAAGAGTGGGCTTTTGTTATATTCTAAAACCATTTTTAAAAGGAAGGGGTGACGTGGTTCTGTAGGTCATAGTATCTGGCAGCCTGCACTCAGAAAAACTGTAGAGACACTGGGATGGGAGCCAAGTTACTTAGAATTGTAATACAGCTCATAAGAGATGAAAAGGAATTTCACTAAGGCACCAATATTACCATTTCTGAGGAAGAATGGGGTCCTGTTTCCTAATTGATGAAACACTCCACCAAGGAGAAAACGTCACTGCTCCCTTTTGAAAGTCTCTCATTGCCTGGTGCAACATTCCTTCTAGCAGCTGTTGGAAGTGCAAAAACCTGGAAGGACCATCTTGGGCCAACCTGGAGAATTAATTAATGTTAACGCCCCTAATCAAGGAGCAGGCTTTCAACAAGCCAGGCATCCATACGACCTACAGAAGTGGCCCATTTAAAACCTGCTCCACTTACTCACAAAAGCAGAAGCACATGAAATTAGCTTAGTCCAGTGCATCTCAAACTTTAATGGATATATGAATTACCTGGGGGATCTTTTTAAAATGCAGATTCTGATTCAGTGGTTCTGCAGTTGAGACCTGAGTTCTGAACTTCTATTAATCGTCTAAGTGATGTGAGGTTGATACCATCTGTCAATGGACTTAGCCCAGCATTGGTCTCTTTCCTTACTATTTTTTAGGCAAGATCACAATTTTGCCACACTGGCCAGATGAAAGCCCACCTTGATTTAAAGGAAATCATTTATAGCTTGAACTTCTTTCACTAACAGTTCAATTCAAATTCAACAAACATTTACTGAGAACTAACTTCTTTCTTACAGTTCAACTGAATCTTCCCCGAAACAACTTACAGCTATTTTCCCTGGCTTTCACAAAACAGCTTTGTATTCTTTAATATAACTACCTTTGTATTCTATGACAACAACCTTTGTTTAATTTGTAGTCCTTTTGAGTTTTAGAGTTCTACAGTGCGTAGAAAAGTGGAAAAGCTTCCTTCACATTAGACATTTTTTGCTATGTGCAAGAATTACCTTAAAAACCCGTGAAAGTGAGCTCTGCTTCCAGGATCCCTCAGAAGCAAGTACAGTTTGCAGCAAATTGTACAAATGAATGAAAATAAGATATTTTGGGGGCTCATTATGCAAGGCAAAGGTTCTCATTCTGGAGGAAGTAAGACAGAATTACTTCGGGAGCCTAATCCAAAAACATACACACTCACCTCTTCTCTCCTTTCTCGCACCCATCCTTCAACAGATTCTGATGGACAACAGGCTTTTCCTAACATTCATTATCTCTCAATGCACCCCCCCATTGAGAACTATGGGTTTAGAATCTAATCACTCAGGCAACATCCTATTGACTTGTGTGGCGAGTTGAGGGATGGCCCCCAAAAGACATGTCCACCCAGAACCAGCAAATGTCACTCTTTTCCTTATGTAGAAAAAGAGTCTTTGGAGATATCACTAAGTTAGGAATTTCAAGATGGAATCATCCTGGATTGTCTGGGTGGGACATAAATCCAATAACAAATATCCTTATAAGAGACAGAAAAGGAGACACCCAGACACAGAGGAGAAGGTCATGAGAAGTGCAGCAGAGATTGGAATGATGCAGACACAGCAATGCCACAGCCACCAAAAGCTGGAAATACAAGGACGTGTTTCCCCCAGGAGCCTCCAAAGGGAGTGTGGACCTGTTGGCACATTGATGGCAGAAGCCCGGCCTTCAGAGCTGTGCCAGAATGAGTTTCTGTTGTTTTACACCGGGCAGTTTGTGATATCTTGTTATAATGGTTTCTATTAATGTTTAAATTAATTTTATTTATTTTTCACTATTATGGGTACATAACACATATATTAGTGGCTTATATGTGATGTTTTGATACAGATATACAATGTGTAATGATCAAATTAGGGTAATTGGGCTATCCTTCCTCTCAAGCATTTATCATTTCCTTAAGACAGAGCTTTAATTATTATTTTCCTTTTTTTTTAAATGAAGCAGGGTCTTACTATGTTGCCCAGGTTGATCTTGAATGCCTGAGCGCAAGTGAGGCTCCCATCTTGACCTCCCAAAGTGCTGGGATTACAGGTGTGAGCCACTGCACTCGGCCTAATTATTATTCTCTTTTAGCCAAGGGATTCTATTCATATAGATCTGGCTTGAGGAGCCTGCAAGTCACCTGGGAACACAATTTCTTTGTACAACACCAGAAAGGCCATTGAACCACTTTTACTCATCGCTCTCAAGAATTCAGAGGACAGTGGAGTAAACCAAATGCAGATAATTTTGAATGTGATGTTAAGTATTCTTTGTCCTCACACACAAATAAAAGTGTGAGGACAATTTGGTCAGCTGATACCTTCGTCTGTGAGAGAGATGATCAGGAGTGAGTAATGCAGATGGAAAGAATGGATAATGTGAGAGAGATTTTGGTGGAAAACCAGCAGGAATTAGTGATAGATGCAGCATGGGGGGTATCTTCAGGAAGAGGGAGGTGCTAACAATGACTCCCAGTTCTGTCCTGCCTTAAGCAATTGTGTAAACAGTCTACCATGCTATTTATTCAGATAAAAAGCAATTGGAGACTAAGAAAAGGAAAAGTTTTATGACTCAGGCTTGAAAAATTCAGAAATTCAGGTACATTTGCAATATCTATGGAGTGAGATCAACTTGAGAGTTACACAGATGCTCAGAGGAGAGAACTAATGTATATATTGAGAAATTATCAGTGAGTAGTACTACTTGAACAAAAGGGACAGTAGAATGTTGACATGGAAGAATGCAAAGAATAATAAAAGAAGGCCCAAAATGATCCTGCAGGAGCTGCAAGTAGAGAAGAATGATGAGCTTTTAAGGATGACTGAAAATGAGCTGCCAGAAAAAAAAAGAAAAACTGGGAAAGACTGTTGTCCTGGAAACAGAATGAAGATAATATTTTAGGAAGGAAAATATGGAAAGCAGTGTCCAGTGCTGTTGAGAAAAACCAACACCAAACACACAAAACTCAATTTGTACCAAGAAGTATCAAAAGACTCATGGATGAGATATGTCTGATAGCTCTACAACTGACAGTGAGGGAGTACTTTTAGGGTAGAATAAAGGCATTTTCAGACATTCAGGTTCCCAAAATATCAACCTTCTTTGTAGCTTTTATGCAAGAAGCTGTGATATATCTGTCAAAATGGGAGAGTAAAACAAGGAGAGAGGAAGATATTCAGGGTGCAAGAACTTCAACATTGGACAGAGATAAAGAGACAAGCAGAGGACAGGGATCCAGGATGACAATGGCCTGGCAATGTAGTAGCCAATTCATCCAGACAGGAGCAGATCATAGACATCCTGCAGAGACGTCTCCAACAAGACAAAGTAGATAATGTACCAGATGCATCTGAAGAATGAGAAAAATTCAGGCAGCAGTTAAAGAGTTTGGTGAAATTAATGATGAATACATAGAGAATGAAGCAAACTAAAAATAAGTAGCTATCAGCTCCAGAGAGAAACTATGCAAGAATATTTATCTAATCCAAATCATGACATGACTATATTGGGAGAATGCGGGGAGAGAGGGTTGGAAAGTTGTACATGAGAAGAGAAAGTGGAAGATGAAAAAAAGTCAATGAATGACTAAAACTGAAAGCTAACAGAAATGAAAAAATATTATTTAGTGACACTGTTGTGGATGCAAAATAACCAGCTAAAAACAATGAAAATGGTTGCCTTTGAGGTGAAGATAATGGAGATGGGGGAATGGGTGCTTTGTCTCTCTCTCTAACAAATATTGTAGAATTCTTTGGATCCTTAAGTCCCTTGATTAAAACTGTTTTAAAAAAAGGTAGAGAAAGAAATTTTTTAAATGTCTGTTGAGAAGTTAGTTAATAGGTATAAAAATACAGTGAGTTATATAGTTAGTTAACAGGTATATATAGTTACTTAATAGGTATAAAAATATATCTAGGAAGGAATAAATTCTGCTTTTCAATAGTAGAGTAAGGAAATTATAGCGTAAAATAACTTATTGTATATTTCAAAATAGCTAGACGAATTGGAATGTTCCCAACACAAAGAAAAGATAAATATTTGAGGTGATGAATATTACAATTACTCTGAATTGATCATTACACATCATATACATGTATCGAAATATTACATGTGCCTCCCGCAAAACAAGGATAACTATATCAATAAAAAATACAAAATAAAAAGACCTGTCCATTGAATTGAAAACAAGTGACTTTTCGATGCAATCATTAGATTGCAGTTAAGGCACAGAAGCCTTTTAAAGATGAATGTGGTGGGTAATTTGCTCACAGGATGCCATTTTAAATCTCTCCCTAGAGAGAGGGAAAACCTTGTTCCTCTAAGTGTGGCCTTAGAGCACTTATCTTAGAATCTACTCAAGTGTTTCTTAATATTTAGCTTCCCGGACTCAATACCATTTTTATGAATCAGATTGCAGGTTGGTTGAGTATTCTTTATCCCAAATTTTTGGGACCACCAGTGTTTTGGATTGTAGATTTTTTTTTTTCAGATTTGGAAATAGTTGCTGATATTAAGCATGCCTTATCTGAATATCTGAAATTAAATTATGTAGGTGCTCAAAAAGTTTCAGTTTCTGGAGAATTTAGGATTTTGGATTTTCGGATTAGGGATGCTCAACGTGAATTTAGAGCAGACACACTTCAGAGAAACTTTCTGGATAATTCGTTTGCCTATTAAAGTTTGAGAAGCACAGCCTTAGGGCAATGATTCTTAACCAAGTGGTCTCATCCAAGTGACTCAAGAGCATTCTAAAGATATCCATCACCTCTCCTGCCACACATAGCAATCCCAATGCAGGAGGTTGGCTCCCAATGTAAACGTATTGCCTTGAAATAGTTCACTGACGCTTCTAATGCTCATTCCTGGATAAGGTCTT
Source organism: Homo sapiens (assembly GCF_000001405.40). Classification (NCBI taxonomy): domain Eukaryota; kingdom Metazoa; phylum Chordata; class Mammalia; order Primates; family Hominidae; genus Homo; species Homo sapiens. The sequence goes on from NC_000013.11 coordinate 72,147,090, forward strand.
CTGCTGAGGAATTCCAGGGCTGTCAGCCTCTGTCTTTTCACCACATCGTTTTTGGAGACTAGACTGCAAAGAGCTGTGGCCATACCTTTAAAAGTCTGCAGCAGACAATTCTCTTCTCTGTAGTAAAAAGTCAGTCAGCCTTGTTGTCTCTGATCCTTTACTTATGTACGCAAACTTGTGTCAACTATTTTAACTTATGTTGCTTCATTCAATTACTGTCACTTCATTAAGAACCCTAATGTCCACAGATGCCTTTTAAGTTGGATACTATATTTCAGTAAGTGTTGGGACTATGGAAAGAATCATTTTGTAGCTCTTACATAAAAAAAAAATTAAGATATACATTTACTCCCAATCTGGAATTTGGGATATATTATCATTCTGTAAAAATCAACATCAACATCTCGTCATTTAAAAAACTGCCAATTAAATGAAAAATTATTAAAGTATTCTTTCTCATTTTAAGTAATTTAAATATGTCATTGGGCTTCTATAATGAGGCATGTATTATAATGATAATGTTATAATATTGTTATAATAAAAATAGTCATCGTGGTATTCATAGATCTCAAATTATCTTACCAAAAATGTAATTTATAGTAGAAATCGTAAGTAACTGACATTCCCAGATAATTAATATATTATATTATCTCTAAGACCCCTGTTTCTAATCTAAAGTAATATGGTTCACAAAAACACCCAGTTAACAAACATACTGATGAGTGATTAAGAGATCCTCTATTAAATTAGGAGTGCCATTTTAGTAGAAGAGGCTGACTAGCTGGAGAATACTCACCCTCCACTGGGGCATCAACCCATAAGGAAGACATCCCCAGGAAGCCCCTTTCATCCACTGAGGCTTATCCCAGAGGATCAATGGTAGTTCAAATATTGTTGTGAGAGGGAGACAGGACACAAATCCCATCAGCTAGGATCCACTTACATTATTCAAAGCTTAATATTTATAATAAATTCATAGGGCCCTGAGATTATTGACTTTTGAGGAATAAGATTTTCATAATTTAAGGAGTCATGAAGGTTTTCTGCATTAAATGTAGCCTTACAAGTGGTTTTACATGAGAAGTTAAAAAGTACCAATTAACAAAGGCAGTAAAAGACTGACACATCCATATTCTCATAATATATGCCTGGAAGGAGTCATCATATATTAACATTTTAAGGTTAAAAGTAACACTTATAGTTCTAAGCCAAAACAAACTTTTCATATTCAGTTTAGATAACAACACACGATCTTTACGTATTATTTTGTATTATAGTTAGGAAATTTGCGAAAAACATACCTTTAATTTCTCCTTTTCCTGCCACCATGTTAGGGCCTCTGGGTCCATTAACTATGTACCCAGAGCTTCTCTGGACCTTTCCAAACTGGGCATTGGTAGTGTCCCAAAAAGAGTCATTATGGAAATTGAACTGTTTCCCCTACCCATACAGAGCAGCGCTGGAGAACTTAGAGAAGGCTCCAGATTGTCAAACATAGCTTTTCTTCTGCCAGACCTTGTAGTCTATGTTTTTGTCCTGCCCTGTTTCATCAGAGTGTCAGACAGATGCAGAATAGGTGAGAACATAGGTATCTTCCTTGTGTGACTCTCTGTCACACACAATCACTTGGGAGACCTGTACAACATGGCCTGACCATTGCCAAGTGACATGAAAATAATCCCTTAATCTATAACTGGTGGGCAGAAACCAGCACTTGGGGCCCTGCTTTCTCTGTCACTGACTCTGTCAATCCTTGTCCCAACTCTCCCTCAAGGCTACTCCCCTACTTCCTTCAGCCCAAGGGAATAAAAAAGCTTATATACTACCAAGTACAAAATGAACCCTAAAAGAAACTACCTACCAAATAATCAACGTAGAATATTTGCTCAATGTAGAATGGGTACTCCATATAAATTCAGCCCGATCAAAGGATATTTACAAATAGAGTTTATTAAATATAGAATATAATCCTGAATATCAATAATAGAAAATTTTACTTAGATCCTTTTCAAAATGTCTCTGCATATAAGCATTTGTCATGAAACATTTTATAAATAAGTTAAATGGCTGAATATATGTACTTTTCATATTCTCATAGCTTTGTAATATTTGATTACAATGCTGGATATAAAAGAAATGCATACAAAACGCAATCAGAATCCAGAAGATTGAGTAGTTAAATCTGGATCTGAAGGAAATGCCATTTATGTTAGAGTTTGAATGATGAATAGAGCATCGAAAGAGGAGGGCTCAGGGTGGGCTGGCTAAGAATTCCAGGTAGAGGGAACAATAAGTGTAAAGGTACACACGGCATATTAAGATGGTTTAACTCTGGGTTTTCCCCAAACTAGTTAAGGATTTGCCTGCAGATAGTTTATTTGCAAGGGAATCACATGGAACAGGAGGAGAAGACAATGAAGTGTAACAGCAGGAAAGAGGAAACACTAATCCAAAGTTGTATTCCTTGGATGATGAGAAATAACTTAATGGATATGATGTACACTGTTTGGGTGATGGATACCGTAAAAGCCTCGACTTGACCACTATGAAATCTATGCATGTAACAAAATTGGGTTTGTACCCATACGTTTATATATACATTTAAAAATGAAACAAAGATATCTTCCTGAGCAAGTTGCCACTGTGAAACTGGGACTTAAGCTCCTGGGAAACCCTCAGAGGAGCATGTCAACTGTGTTTTAGAGTGATCTGCTCAGGACATGGAACAGGAGTCTATTTGCTGGCTCTGCTTCCAGGGGGTCAAAGGTTTCCCCAGATATGTTAACTCATTTGTGCTTGAAGGTTCCAGCAGGTGTAGAATGGCTGAGCAGATTCCTGCTGGTATGACAAGTGCTGTTGGCAGAGAAGCCCTGGATGGGAGATAAGAAACATATTGTGCAGTAGAGGTGAGATATCAGAGTACATCTTAGCACAAATGGTTGTTTCAATAAAGGTTGGAGTAAAATGTTAGATCTAAAGTATGTGAGGCTGAGTAGAATATGTGTTGATATATAAGGTAAGAATCAAGTTGTCTGATGTAACTGAAGGGCATATTGTAGTATAGAGAGAACACTGGGGCACAAAACTTACAGAGAAAATCTTAAAAGTTAGGTTGTGGCTATATCATGAAGGACAAAATAATGCTTTGTAAAAATGTTGTGGTTCATCCTGTAGTCAATGAAGAATAATCAAAGTTTTTAAGATCATAGAGTAACCCAATTATATTCATAGTTTAATGAGAGAATTCTGGTGCCAGTAGTTATTTATTTCACAAAGTTATTGAACTTTCCTTTGTACCAAGCACTATGTTAAGTCGTGGACATACTGCAAAAAACAAAATGAAAAAGGTGATCTTGCCTTCACAAGTCTCTTACAATCTATTGAGGAATATGTCCACAAGCTACTATAATAAATCAAGGTATGTTTTTGGATGAAGGTATAGGTGATATTGGAGCACAAAACAGGGGTCCTAGGACAAAGGTAGGAGGTTCAGAGAAGGTATTTGAGAACTGACACTAACCTAATACTGAAATGCAAATGGAAGCTAAATGAGGAAGAAAGGGGAAGAATGGCCCAAACAGAGGGACTGGCATTCCAGATGGAACAGAGGGAAGTACGCATATTGCATCCACGGAATCAAAGGGATTCAGTATGGCTGGCAATAATGGACGTGAGTAGGGGTGCTGAGAGATGCCTGGAGAAGTGGAGAAGAACTTGCCTCTTCAGCAATGTAGAAAATGCAGATTAAAATAGTCAAGAATCACTGAACCAAATGAACAAAAATGTTGTGAAGCACCCTTGTCCTTTAGCACAAATAAGTTAACTCTTATTTAGATCTAACCTATACTTCCCAAGCCACACTTTCAGCAAATTTACTTTTGGCAGACAGAATGGAGTCTGTCAGCTTTCCCGGTTCAGAATTCACCACAGCACTCCATGTTGGACACTTACGACACCATCTCACAGCATGCAATGGATCATTGCATCAGACCCTTGAAAATAATGCTGACATTATTACTATAATAGCAATAATTAAAACCACTTTGATCTGTCATGCTTTTGTTTCATCCTTCTTTCAAGTCATACAACAAGCAGGCTTTACCTGGCTTGTTTTATGTTTGTTTCACATTTGACTGTCTTTGCCATGTATCTATGAATAGACTACAGCTGCTCCTCTCTAGGTGATTGTGGATGTTTTGCTGTCTACTCCCACATTTTTGGAGGGACGATTAAATATGACACACAGCTCTGAGACAGGAAATGCCTGTCTGCTACATTTTGGGAAAATTAGGGATGAACGAAGGGTCATGTGGAATAACAGATGATTTGCTTTGCATCACTTGTAGTTTACAAGGGCAAATGCAATGCTCCAGGAATGTGTAAAATGTATATTATGCTAAACTTGAGGTCATCCTCTCACTTGTCAGAACATAGCTTCTAGTCCTAACTTCCAAAACTTTAGAGGCCTGTGAAATACTTGGACAGTTTCCAAAGGAGAGCAATGAAAGTGATAAAAGATTTGAAGGCTAATACCTTTGAGGGAAAGCTAAAAGAACAAGAATTATTTCTCTTCTAAATGAGAAGTCAGAGATAATTTAACAATCTTCAAGTATATGGAATGTTTTATGTGTAGAGCAATGGTATCCAAATTCAGGTAAGTTTGAGCCATGAGGTCTGGGTACAAAAAAAGCAACCCTGGCAGGGAGGGTTGTTGTGTGTTGACACCGGGTATTTGACTGCAGAAACCTCTTCTTCGGAGGCCCAGAAGACTAGACATTATCTAGCAGTGAGGTGTCACGTACTGTCTGCATGAACACTGGGGTAAAATAAATGACTTCCAAGAATTTAAATTCAGTAGTTTTCTGGGTTTTTAAAAGGTCTTCCATTTGAGGGGACACCGAGGGCAAATAAATTATTGGCCAAGATTTTATTCTTACATCTTACACTTTCTTGAAATAGTAGCACATCCTGATCATTACTGGTAATAGCTACAACCAGAGTTCCAGAAGCTTCTATCATGTTACCAGTTTAGAACTCTTTCTCATATATAATACTTTAAAAAATATTTCTATTCCTGTATTCCTCGGTTCATCTCTATTCCACTTATCTCTCTACAATCTGATAAGGTACTATTGTACAGAGCCATCCAGGTCTTTGGTCCTCAAAACTGAGGATGATAAATATATAGTCTAATACTTGAGTTGAAATAAACATTATTCCATTACAGGAGCAAAATCTAGGCATAGACACCTGCATATTTTTGGAAGTATAGGAAGTTATAAGTTTATGACAGACAGCAGCATAGCATTCCATTTACAATCTTTTTAGAAAGGTGGATGATAACAGAAGCTAGGACAATACAATAAAATACTATGTCTGCAATAAAAAGTCAGACTTCACTCTCCTGAAATGGGCTCATGCAGATCACTATATCTCTGTTTACGGGGAATTTTAAGATAGTCACAAAACAAAACTGCCAAGCATGAAGGAATAATTCATTTAACAGCTGTTCAGTAAGGTCAAAAACACAGAAACTACTGAAGGTTACAAAAGTATATCTAGAACTCTTGGGAGTTTAGCTCCATTACAACAGAGATTTTAAAATCATCTTCTAGTTGTACCTCACCTGATGTTAGAAGGCGTATTATTGGGTATCAGATTTTAGGAGCTCAAGATCAATTCTGTCATTTGACTTACCACCCCATGCCATCATGACTGAGGAGAGAGAGTTAATAAATAAAAGCATGATGTCTCTGATGCTTAGTTCAGAAAAGAAACAAACATGGATCAATAGGGACAATCTAACACAAATATCCCGATTTCTGCCCAGACATCAGCAATAGGGAGGCTATTGCACACAATCCTGAAAAATCTGCTCTCCAAATGCACTATTGACAAAAAAGCTGGACATAATAAGAAATTAAATGAAGCTGAATAAATACCCATACTGAGGGCTAAACATCAAAACTACATTTGGTGAAAAGTAACCAAAAGGAAAAAAACACAGATCAAAAGGCCATCATACGAAACATTGCTATTTTTTGTGGTTCATGGCTTCAAATTGAAATATAAACTCAGTCCAAAGTCAGATTTGTTTCTTCTCTGCTATTTAATTTGAATATATTTCTTTCTACTTTTGTATTTAAAGGGCTTTGCCTGTCTTCCATTTTTTCTAATATTTTAAATTACACTTAAAACATTTCTCAATGAAATCCACATTTCGTGAAATAGTAGAAAATAGGTATAATTTTGCAATTAAAGTCATCTCAGGGAAACTGCAGTGTAGTTTTTTCCTTTTTTTTTTTTTGCAATTCTGTTTAAGAGCATAGACTGATTAGAATAGTGATTACCATAAATCAACATCCTGCAGCCATAAACATAATGTTTATCAAGGTGACTTTTCAGTTCCTGATTTGTTAACCTCATCTGAAGTTTCATAGATTCTGTGTTTTCTCTAGCTGTTCAGCATTACCTCAATATTCCAAAACCCTCATTAACTTCATACTGTTAATACTACATTTGATTACATTTGCTTTAAAAAAGAGAAAGTTGTGCTCAGACTGTGAAAACTACTTCTCATTTGCACAAATGCAGCAAAGCACGGCCCTTTGCATGTCCTGCTTACAATTTGGAACTTTCCTGTATTACAGCCCCACCAACCTATGGTAAAACAAAAGCAAGAATTGAATGAAATTAACCAAGCTTTGACAGGAGAATTTTTTTTAATTCCTCAGATAAAACAATTCAGAAAATTTCAAATAATTGTAAAATGCCCTCTCAGAATAAAAAAAAAAAAATCTTAATATAAGTATGAAGAATTTGAAACACTTTTATATTTGACAAATTTCTTAATCCTAAGAAATTGATAGTTCAATTAGCATCCCCATTTTAGGAATAGGATAATCCAGATTCTGAAAAATAATGCAACTTGTTTAAAGTCAATGGCAGTACCAGACCTAAAACCTTGGTCTCTGGTGTTGAGCTTAAAAAACTTGACTACTGAACCAAAAACACATACAGGTATAGAGAGAACTCTCAACTCATGTGCGTGTCCTGTCACAAAGATGCATTGGCAAGGAATCACATATTTTTTCCTTTCAAAACATTGTGAAGAGAATTTGGTTTTCTAGAAAAATCCTCAATGGCCCTGTATTAGTCCTTTTTCTCACTTCTATAAAGAACTTCCCCAAACTGGGTTATTTATAAAGGAAAGAGCCGGCCGGGCGCGGTGGCTCACGTCTGCAATCCCAGCACTTTGGGAGTCCGAGGCGGGCGGATGACGAGGTCAGGAGATCGAGACCATCCTGGCTAACACGGTGAAACCCCGTCTCTACTAAAAATACAAAAAAAAAAAAAAAAAAAAAAAAAAAAAAAATTAGCCGGGCGTGGTGTCGGGCGCCTGTAGTCCCAGCTACTCGGGAGGCTGAGGCAGGAGAATGGCGTGAACCCGGGAGGCGGAGCTTGCAGTGAGCTGAGATCGCGCCACTGCACTCCAGCCTGGGCTACAGAGCGAGACTCCGTCTCAAAACAAAAAAAAAGAAAAAAAAAGGGAAGAGCCTCGAGCTCCACCTGTGTTGCTGCAAAAGACATAATTTCATTCTTTTTTATGGATGTGTGTATTCCATGGTGTATATGTATATCACATTTTCCTTATTCAGTCCACCATTGATGGGCCTTTAGTTTGATCCCATGTCTTTGCTATCATGATTAGTGCTGTGATGGTAGGACAACTTATACTTCTTTGGGTATATACCCAGTAATGGGACTGCTGGGTTGAATGGTAGTTCTAAGTTTTTTGAGAAATCTCCCAACTGCCTTCCACAATGGCAGAACTAATTTATATTCTCACCAACAGTGATAAGTGATCCCTTTTCTTTGCAACCTCACCTTAATCTGTTATTTTTTGGCTTTTTAACAACAGCCATTTTGACTGGCATAAGATGGCATCTCACTGTGATTTTGATTTGCATTTCTCTGATTAGTGATGTTGAGCATTTTTCATATTCTTGTTGGCTGCGTGTCATATAATTTAATCATAATTTCTCTATGTTCCATGGCAAGTATTTCTGAAGGGGGTTCTTTAACTGCCTTTTTTTCCCTATTGATCTTCATCTTTTCGTCCTTATCACTGATTAGATTTTGTATTATTTTCTCACAACATCATTCGGCTTTGAGTGAGATGAGTTTTTTCTCAACCCGTGATGTCAAATGAAGTTTGTGTTGGAGATTGAGGGTAGTCAGGGCCATGCTCCAAATACTTTAGCACTTCTCCTAATGACATAGGATTGTGCACGTGAACAAGTTCCTTTTGCTTTTTCTTCTCCTAACCAATCAAGTTCAATAGCTATACTGTTAACTACAATGTCAAGCCTCTTCTTGACTCTGGCCTGTCTCAGAGAGCTTCCTGCCAACAAAGGACAAGTCTGTGTGGTTTTTCTATTAGATCCACCCCTTTGTTTATCCTTAATACCAGACTGAGTCTTGGGAAGCAAGTAGGACCAGCTTAAGACCCATTTCCTATTTTTCCAAATAACATAATGCCATTCTTCCCTCTCAGAGCAGGCTACTGTTTTGAAGGACTGTGCCTGTTGTGTTTGCCCAAGATCTGCAGCCATGGGCATCATTTCTTACCATGTGGCTGCACTTCTGTTTGGCCCTTTCTTTACTGGGCAGCCATTCCATATACACGGTGACTCAGGTTACAAAGGTCTACTTGTGTTAAATGTTGAGGGTTTTTAATTTTTTCCTTTCTGTTTCTCATCATACTTACTGTTTTGGGGTTATTGCCAAGAGGCAATGGGAGCAGTACTGTTTTTATGCCACTATTATTTGAAATCCGATAATGAAGACTGGTCTCTTATTTTTGTTTTGTTTCAAATTTTATTTAACCTTTATGTTTTCGAGAAGAGCCACAAAGATAAGAAAGCTGAGAAACTACATTCAAAGAAATTATCCATAGCCATGAGGTAGCACATACAGGACAAGAATTCTCTTGTTCTACTTTTTAAATTCAAAGAGCTTGCCACTATATCATACTTTGACACAGTTTTAATGGTGGATTTGACCTTATTTCCCAGAAAATAAACATAAAATCTGGACTTTCAATGCACTAAGAACCTCACATTTAATTTCATGCTTGAAAATACAGTTTCTATGAGATTTTGAAAGTTTGAAATAATAAATTTTTCTCCAGTGATTCTTTCTCTCATATTCTACTTACCCTCAGAAGTAGATTCAGATAAAGGGTAATTCATATGAAAAAATTTGAACTATTACTATATTTTTAAAAATCTATTTTATTGGAAGATAATTTATTTCTAGATCATCTATACAGTGGCATTTGTGAACACCTGACTTGTTAAAACTATTAAGTTAGAGTGGTATATCACTTTCATAGTACTCTATATGCTGCTATCTTTTTATCTTTTTGGTGAATACAAGAAATAGAATACAGACTCAGATGCCCACAGTTAGACAGACTCAGATATGTAACAACTTCTGACACCAATAAAAAATCTAAAAATGTATTGCCTCAAGATTAACATTAACTGAACTTGAAAAAAACTAATAAAAACATTCATGAAAAATGTTTCCGTTCACTGATTTGCATTTTCAGACAAAAAGCTGCTGAAGGATGAATATGCCTATACTGCTGTGTTTAGTGAGACCTAGACTTTCCAGTAGGAATGTACTCACATATGTGTCACTAAAGTCAGTACAAATACAGACTGTGTGGTAAAAATTAAGCAGCTAAACCTTGCAGACACTTGGAGAGTTAGGGCAAACACATTGTAAATAGATTTCTTCTTTTAACATGTTCTAACTTTTCTCTCCCTGTTACCTAGGCTGCCAGGGGTGGGTGGGCAAATATCTTTTAGCTTCTGAAAACTCCTTTGTTTGAAAGCAGAGAGAATAGTGGTTTGGCCTGGTATAATTGTTTTGTTGGTTGGCACAGAGTTTTAATTATTCTGTGATACATCACAAGATATATTGATCACACAGTAACTACATTGTTCTTCCTCTGGGGTCCTTTCTTGTCTACTCTAGTTTTTGCTTAGGACTGGATGTTTCAGCTTCTCTATGAATCTTTTATCTGCCCTTTGTGTGTCTTTTTCTTGTTAATGTTTTTCTTAATAGATTCTAACAGTGACTACAAAGAATATAAGGGTGGTCGCACACATATTAAAAATAAAAATAAAGAATAAATTTCTTTGAAGAGGGTCAGTTCTGACATAAAGAGAAAACAAATATCCTATAGATACATTGTCCACATTACATGTATTTCAACTCTCTCTGCATCTAAGTGGTGACATGGAAAGTTTTCTATTGAAGATCTTTCTGACCTGCCCTTTGATGTTAGATATAATTATAATGTTAGATATGATGTTAAGCTATGTAGACTACAAATGAACATGAATATACTTAATTCAAATAGTAGAATGTAAATTGGATAGCTAAAGGTTAAACCCATAAGCAGTAACAATCGTCACATCTTTATTAAGTATTTACTATCTACAAAACATGTTGTCCACTGTTGTGAGCAGTAGGAATGTAAGAAAATGGACATTCAGCTCTCAGGAATTTTTTTTTTTTTTTTTTTGAGACGGAGTGTCGCTCTGTCACCCAGGCTGGAGTGCAGTGGCGCGATCTCGGCTCACTGCAAGCTCTGCCTCCCAGGTTCACGCCATTCTCCTGCCTCAGCCTCCGGAGCAGCTGGGACTACAGGTGCCTGCCACCACGCCTGGCTAATTTTTTATATTGTTAGTAGAGACGGGGTTTCACCGTGTTAGCCAGGATCATCTCGATCTCTTGACCTTGTGATCCGCCCGCCTCGGCCTCCCAGAGTGCTGGGATTACAGGCATGAGCCACCGCACCCGGCCTCAGGAATTTTTTAATGCATTTCTTGAGATGACATGGAAATGAAAATAAATATAGACTAAGCCAGAAATAAAAGATTTTTATAAACACTAAATGATTATTCTAAGACTAATAAATTCAGAAGAATAACATCAAGTCAGGGTCTAAAAGATCTCATGTGAGAGTGGTTGGGGTTAACTAAGTCTTGAGAGGTAGATAGAAATTGGATAAGTAGAGATAAAAAGTAGAGATTTTTAGAGTGAAAGAAGGTGTGAATAGATTTGGAGGTAGGGGAGCTCTGAAAAGTTATTTAGTTGGAGAAGGTAGTTCATATGGGTGAGTTACAGAAAAAAAAAAAAACTTAGAAAGGAAAATTAGAGCCATTCTCACAATCTTAGTGCAAAAGAGGATCTCAAGGATTATCTTTTCTAATACTTAACTCTTGCTCAAGATCATACTTTTAAAAACTGAATTTATATAAAGACATGTTTCATTCTTGTGATTTTTATATAATCAGTGATTTTATTAGCTATCTCACTTTATATGTTATCTTACTTCTATTTGTACTTATTTTCATCTCAGTGCTGGACAGAACTCTATACTTCATATTAGTCAAAAGGAGCTAATTAATGCTGTGTTAAAAAGACAATGTACCAATTGTCAAAGGCTACATACACCAAAAATAGATTTACCATTCAAAGGAGAATAAATGTACAATGTGAGCTGACTGGAGACTCTGCTCCACATGATTACTCAGAGATCCAGGATAACTGAGGCAACCTTATCATTCACTACACTATCTGGAGCATTTGGTTTTCTAGGTTGCTTCAGCAAGGGAAGATCTAGCTGTGGGGTCACAGGCTGGCTCCTTATGCTTTGGTCCATCACTTCCCCATATCCTATTGTTCAGAACACATGCCCCTCCAAGCTGCAGAGGGGTAACACATAGGGGAATAGATGGAAAGTTTGGTGAGTTCCATTGTCTCTGCCACACAGAGAGGTATGGGGGAGACACATCAATGGAAGGCATATCCCAAAATTTTCCATACCATTTGTTTATTAAGATACCACCCTTCCTCAAAACATAAACTTGCAGATTTTATATTCTAGCTTTTTAATTGTTGTGTGGGTATCTTCTTTGAACCATCCCCAATTGCTCCATACTCTATCCATAAATAGAAATTAAAATTTAAGTTAGTTCTTAAGAAATGCAAGAAAAAGCCGGATATAATTATATGTATTATCTTTGTGTACATTTTTCATTTCTTGACTTATCTATAACCAAAGGTAATTTCAGACTAACTCTCTCCATTACATCTCTGATTGCACTCTGAACTCATCCTGCTTTATTGCACTTCTGAGATTTTGCTCCAACTCTTTTTACCATCTAGGCCTACTTCTTTTCACCATGTCAGAAAACATTCTTTCTTATGTCTTCAGCCAAATTCACCCTCTCCAAAAGGCTTCCTCGGGTTCTCCCAATAAAAATTAATCCCTTCCCTTCCAAACTACGAGTGCGATTTTTTGAACATCTAATGTTTTTCCCTGGAGCACTTTGAATTCACCTCTCTATAAAGCATGCAAAACAACTTTGCCCTTCAGATATTAGCAATGTCTCAAGAAAATGTTGATTGTCAAAATTTGCAGGGAGGATCAGGACTGCTGCTGGCATCTAGTGAATAGAAACGGGGATGCTATAAAATATCCTTCAATGCTTAGAACAGATCCCACAAACAAGACTTATCCAGCCTCAAATGTCAATAATGTCAAGGTTGAGAAGCCCTGCTATAGAGTATGAATGCTAGAGTGAGAATCTTTTTCCCATCTTCCCTTCCCTCAGAGTGTGCACCATAATGCTCTGCAGACAGTAATATATTCAATATTTGGTAATGATCAGCCCTGAAAACTGTCTAAAAGAGTCAACAGGCAGTATTATGAGAAGAGGTAAACTACATTTTAATCATGTCCATAGTTGAGTCTTCTAATGCTTGCCCATGGTTTCCTCCTTTTCAGGCTTATGGGGGAATTATAATTCCCCATTCCCTTTGTGGTTGAGTATGACTTGTTACTTCCAGCCATTATGTTATAGGTAGAGGTGACTTGAGTCATTTTTGAGTGAGAGCATTTAATTGCTGGTGGGAGACCCTCTGGCTCCTTCTTCTTCCTGCTGCTGATATCAGACTGCATCCATAGTAGGTGCCCCACAAACATGGGGAAGATACGTAACCTGAGCAACAGTTTGTTGCTTCACCAAAATTCTACATGTGTGCTGGCTCTTCAGCATTATAGGTATATGAATACTTTTAAAAGTCTCATGTTAGACTCTGCTCACTGCTAAAATGCTAACTTATCTCAGCATGATTTCTCTAATGACTTAAACATTGTCATTGCAGCTTGTATACTTTTTTCTGTTGACCTACCATTCCTTCACATGAAGCTGTTCCTTGGATTTTTTTTTTTTCTTTTTAAGATGGAGTCTTACTTTGTCACCAGGCTGGAGTGCAGTAGCATGATCTCATCTCACTGCAGACTCCACCTCCAGGGTTCAAGCAATTCTCCTGCCTCAGCCTCCCGAGTAGCTGGGATTACAGGCATGCACCACCACGCCCAGCTAATTTTTGTATTTTTAGTAGAGACAGGGTTTCGCCATGTTGGCCAGGATGGTCTCAATCTCTTGACCTCGTGATCCGTCTGCCTCAGCCTCTCAAAGTGTTGAGATTACAGGTGTGAGCCACTACGCCCAGCCTCCTTGGATTTATTTTGCTGATAAATCAACACTTTTTTAAAAAGCCAACAAATCATGAAAGCTTTCTTAATCAGTCTTCATTCTGCTTTTGAATTTTTAGTTTATGACTTTCGCACATAGGGCTGTAATATTATTGACTTTACCCATCTACATGTAGTTTATATGTTTCTAATTGTGCTACATGTATTTCAACTTGCAAGATGAAATTGATTCTGTTTGCTTCTGTTGGTTCATAAAATATATTCTGTTAACATGAAAACACTCATGGGACATGGAAATACCATAAAATAATAGAAACAGCACTAGATTGGGGGAGTGAGACAGCACATAGAGCTTTGTACCTAAAAGTAGAAAAACTGGGCCTCCGTGTAACTCTCCCCACTTATTGCTATAAGGTAGATGAAGTCTACACATACACTCTGTAAACTCTTATGCACTATGCAAAGGGGAGTCATTATTCACGTGCTGACAAGGCTCTTGCTCTATTTCCGTTGCCACTGAGCTGCACAACCATCAATAAGCAAGTTGAGTTCTCGGTTTGCAGTTTCCTTACTCGTGCACTGCATTGTGCTATAGTTGGTTTTTGTTCCTTTTTCCAGGTATGAAAAGTCCAGGTTGCTATATACATTTGTGCTTAAACTTAAATGCTTTACAAAAATCCCACTGCCTTGGAAAAAAATATAAATTATTATCTCATTTTTCAAATTATTTAAGCATCCTGGAGATATGCAATTTCTATAAATACTCCCGATTTTTACTACTTTATATAACAAACAGTCATGACTCACTGCATGTTTTCAATAAATGTTGAGATGAATAACTATTTACCATAATATTAAATCATTAATCAAAAATAATGATTTTAATATAGATTTAATAGGTTTAAATACTAGTAGTAATAATAGTAATGGTTTTTGGCTAGGCAGTGTTTCATGGGGATTATAATTATTATTTTATTTAATTTCACAACAATGATACAAGGTTGATAAAAATACTGATAAAGTGAAAATGAAGAAAATACTATTTTTTAGATTGGGATATATGATCTCTTTCTTCATTTTAAATTTCCCAATGCATTTGTGATCACTCTGTGGAATCAGTGTACAAACTATAATCTGAAAGAAATTGGTGGTATTTTTACAGTACGTGAACACAACCATCTGATTTATAGTTCAATCTGTTAATCCACTCTGTTATTAGGCCACCTGGCAGTTTTATGCATTGTGAATTTAAAAAGGAGCTCAATGTAACATAAGCTTCACAAGCTGGGGAAATATTATGGAAATGAAACATGAATGAGGACCATTTAAACAATAAAATAATGTGTATAGACTATATATTTTTTAGTTTTAGCTAATACATGCCATAGGTATAAACTCTGAAATAAGTTGAGGTTCTTATGAGACTATAAAAAAAGAAATTAAAAATAAACTTATTATTTACTATTGTTAATCATGTAGCATTCATGTGCTTATAGAGAAACAAAAATACAGCCACAAACTACCTCTGAAAAATTAAGATCGCATATCAACTACAGTTTCTTTTAGTACTCACAGAAGTGTACTTGGGGAAATGCTGTCAGAATGAAAAACCAGAATTGGGAGATGAAAGAAAAACTGTAACTTATTGACCATCTCTTTTATGACTCTCAGTTTTATTATCATTTAAAGAATTTGATCCACCACTGTTGAAGTACAAAATAAGGTCTTTACAAAGATAATCCTAGAAAATATGTCATTGAGATTAAGCTGTGGCATAACAGTGAATCTGTATTATACTGGAAAAAAGTATGTCTTCTGTAATGTGATGATATTCATCCTATATTGTTCTAAATGATCTAGTCGTAGCTCATGTCATTTATGAAAAGTGTTATGTTTTAAGTAAGCTACATTCTTCACAGTGATCCAGAAAATTTGGGCTAGGTCTAGTCAATTTTATGTCATTATTGTAGTCCTCTTTAATTAAATTTATGAATTAGGAGATTTAAGATGGTTTTTATTTTTATTCAGACTTGAAATTACAATCAAACTTCATTATCTGCATCAGGCTTTCAAAGGGATCTTATGTGATTCATAACTATATAATTTCAAAATATTTTTCAGGATATATTTGCTTAAAGATATATGCAAACAACTTAAGGGAAACTATATTTTTGTTTATATAAATATACCTATTTTCTTCATTTTTAGAACTAGAAAAATGTGAAAGATTAATAAAAATGTTATGAGCTCTATATTTTGAATAATAAGACATTCGTCAAATGGAAAATCCTACTATATACCCACAAAAATTGAAGAAAAAAATTACAAGACCTATGGAAAACAATGGCTTTTCAAATAGATATTTCTTTACACTTCATGAGGAAGTATCAAAACTGCTCTCATTGTCTCAATATTATTCAAACACTTAACTGTCAAGTGAAAAAAATGAATTACACTTTCTTATATATTGGAAAACAAAAACAAATGTCTGAAATATATCCAGCAACTGATAGGTTATTATGCTTATAGCCTTAACATTTACTTAATCCTTAGATATTTGGATTCCATACCTTGATGCTGATGTTTCTGCTTAATTTGCTGGTTGCAATACTTCCATTTAGAAATTTTGATGTTACGATGTCCAAACTTATGGAAAAAGAAAATTATGAAAATAAATGATCATTTAACAAATAAGTTCCCCTAAGTACTAATGACAGTATATTATTTGGGTTAATTTTTTGAGAATTGGTATTTGGATACTTAATTTGCCACTTACAGAGGTGACTGTGCGTTTTTTTTTTTTGTTTTTTTTTTTTGCCAGTCTGATGTACCCTGAAGACTTTTGGTTTGGGAACTTGAGGAGGTCACAGGATAGGATAAAATTCATTTTACTGAAGTATACTGGTTATGAAAATTGCTTGTTCCAGTGGGCGATTTCACTACTTCATTTACAGCGTAAGTGCTCATTGTGTTCCCACTGGCTGGGATCTGACCCTTATATTTCTCATTTTCCTTCTGAAATGTGGGTCAGCTGTGTTGTCAGATTCCTCTTCTCCTGTAAAACATTTTATTTTTAAATATTTGACACTGCAGCCTTCTAAAAGAACAGGTTAAAAAAAATGTCCTGCTGGATGGCATTTATGACTCAGAGAAGTATCATTGCCACTGACCTCACAACTCTTCTTAAATAGTCAGAGAAGGGCAACAAAATTGTCAATTAGGCTTACAGGGAACAGCATTCAGCCCAACTCAACTCGTGCTTGGCAGCATAATCATGCAGATCTTGCTTCGGCACGAGAAGCCTTTCAAGCCTATAATAACGAGGGTTCAACAAATTTGAACTTCCTCTCTCAACAGCAGATTTAGAAGCTGTTGATTTGTTATACATTTACTAAAGGGTTTTGTAGCATTGACATGCAGCATTTAAATTTATCTCAGATATTCAACCTAATTCTTTGATTCACAAATTAGAGGTCAGACTTCTAGAAACCTTGAAGAATATTGCTGTACACACACACACACACACACACACACACATACACGCACGTAACCTCTCTCTGTATATTTTTATATATATATATATATATATATGTAAAATTTCTCTTCATCTTTCTCTTTTATTTCTCCCTGATGTTGCATTTTATGCCGTTATGTTTTGGAGGCAGTATTGAGCCAAGGAGGATTTGTCAGTATTCAGTAACTTGTGCCTAAGAAAAACTGATACTCTTATTCACAAACCACAAATTTTAGAATTTGCTATTCAGTATACTTATCAATAAGAAAAGGAATAAAAGGAATTTCAATTATAACTTGCTCTTTACATTTTACTAACCACAAGATTTTTATGATTTAAATAAATATGAATTACTCTGAGGCTAGGGAGGAATGTAATAAAAGGAAAATATGATTAATGTAAAATTCAAAGTTGAAAATATATACTATGGTAGAAAGAAATAGTCAATGAGAGATGCTCCTTTTATCTGCCAAGTCACTGTCCTAAAACTGGACTGCAACACTTCAACTAGTAAGGTGATAGCCATTTAAAATATTTCCCTTCATGGAGAAATGATATTTGGTCTTACCTAATAAACCTGACCCATTTGTTTCATTTGTAAGTGAACTGTTTTTAAAAAACCAGGCCTAGACCTGTTTCTCAAAGGGAGAGACAAAAAGAGAGATGGGACCAAGGCCAGTGGTGCTTGCTGGGTCTATGAGAAGAGAATTATTTCTCCTTCATGGAAAGAAAGCCAGTTATAATAATCCTACCTAAATACAAACAATAGAGGCTCACTGGAGTATCTGCCAGCAGCTGAATTAAGAAATCAAAAGAATAACAACAGCTGGGCTGGGTCCTGTATTGGTCACCTATTACTTTATTAAGTTCCCAGCCAGAATGGATCTCTTCTGTCTTTCAGTGTGATGTATACCCACAAAATCCCAACCACGCTTTTACATTAGAGTCTAAATTCCTTAGCCAATTAGTGTTATGATTTTATCACAGCAGTTGTTTGAAGCTAAATTGCAGTAGTTATTATCCATGATGGGTCCTGCTCCCTGAGGTTAGTTGCTCAGGTTGAACAAACCATGAAAAAAACCTCCAAGAAAATTCATGCTAGAAAATAACTACAATGTTACAATGTTGATGTTTTATCAAATAGAGTTCTAGGGCCAGATTTAGCCCAAAATGTCCCTATAGCCCAACTTAGTAATAGTTAAATAAATTCACAAGAATGGCATACATTTAGAAAAGAGGACAAAGGGCTTGGCCATCTGTTGAAAAGACCTCATGAAACTCTTGACAGAGATTGTGCAACAAATCTGCTATCAGGTTCAGGCACAGAGAACATACATTGGAATCAACACCTTAGTTTTTACACATACTAAAAATCTACTGTGGTGATATGTTTATATCTTTCTGAACACTTAAGCTCCCCATCTTTTTTACTTTTAAGTTCAAAGGTACATGTGCAGGTTTGTTACATAGGTAAACTTGTGTCACGGGGGTTTGTTATACAGATTATTTCATTACCCAGGTATTAAGCCTAGTGCCCCTTAGTTATTTTTCCTGGTCCTCGCCCTCCTCCCACCCTCTACCCAACGATAGGCCCCAGTGTCTGTTGTTCCTTTCTATGTGTCCATATGTTCTCTCTCTAAGCTCCGCTTATAAGTGAGGACATGTGGTATTTGGTTTTCTGTTCCTGTGTTAGTTTGCCAAGTCTCATGGCCTCCAGCTCCATCCATGTCCCTGCAAAGGACATGATCTCATTCTTTTTTATGGCTGCATAGTAATCCATAGTGTATATGTACCATATTTTCTTTACCCTTTTTAAAACGGTTAAAGCTATATTGGAGTGGTTAGCAACCTGATAGAAATTGTTCGATTTTCCCACATGTACACAATATGTCCAGATATGCGTGGTCATACATAAATTGACTGGGTTTGCCACATTGTATATTGGCCATTACAGTGAAAGAAGATAAAGGACAACCTAGATAGATTTCCTGTTAGCTGATTCTAAACTGTCTGCAAATATTTTAAAAATTCAGTTTACAAGAATTACCATGATCATAATCTTGTCACTTGTTTTTCATTTTCTCTTTCATTCCCTGAGGTCTGTGACTCAGCACAAAGTACCTAGACTCCTACCCACCATAAATGTATTGACTTGGAGTAATTGTTTGTACACATCTCTCACGTTTACTCGTTGATCAAGAAATTTCCTTGGGGTTGAGGGATTCCCTGAGTAGTATCTAGCTATATGAGGTAGAAATGTTGTCACCAATAGTTCTGAGTCTGTGTATTTTTAACTTGTGTGAGTTTTAGCTGAGTCACTTGCCCTGGGGAAGAGACAGGAAAATGAAAAGCAAACAGAAGGATAATTAATAATAGTGGGAATTCTTACAAGCACTGGAAAAAAAAAAAGAATTTTGGATTATTTAGAGGAGATGTAATGAAACTAGCCCTTCATTCTTTCATGCTTTAGTATAATGTGTGTACAGGTGTGGTGTCCATCTTTCAGGCTTGTAAACATTTTAGCACATGCTCTTTGCATAATATATCAGCACTATAAGAAAAATGTAAACTTCTGGCTTTTAGAAGGTGGCAGACTAAAGAAGCAACATTCAGAGGCAGTTCTAATTTTTACTGTCACTGTGTGCCCGGCATTACGTTGGCTGTTGTCATGTACGTCATTTCATTTATCCCTTACAATGACCTTTTGATATCTGATTATCATGCTCCCACTTTTCAAAAGAGGAAACAGTACTACTCTAATTTGGATTTGGTTTTTCCCAGGCAGTGGTGCCCTTCATTGAAGCTCAACATGTTACATTGTCAAGACTGCAAAAATATAAAATACTTTATCTGAAAATTAGGAAAACTATACAAAAAAACAGGAAAACTTCGCTTTTAGTAAAGGAGCCAAAGCACAGACATAATTCTTCTCTTCATTCACAGCAAAGTCTGCCTGCCTGCAAATAAAGAAATTCATAAATAGAAAAGCAATATTCATTCTTCATCCCCTCTTCCTCCACTTTAAGATACTGTGTTCATTCTCCTATGCATGCAGCAGTCCCTCAATCAAGGATTAATAAGAGAGGAATCTAATTGAGAGATTCACAAATGCCAATGTTCAAACTGAAGATAAACCTGCCTATCAGACTGGGAGTGCAGCAGCGGGAGGGAGGGAGGTTATACTGTAAAGCTTCTTGCTCTATCTTGTCTACACTTGTGCTGGGAAAGCTTGGCTCAGAGCTCTAAGGCACAGGTGTCTTTATCTTTCTTTACACAAAAATAGCAACCAAAAGCAACTTTATTTTCTTCAGAACTTGCTTCTTACCATCCATCACCATGTGTTTGCTGTTACCTAGATTAGGAAAGCCAGGATCTTTAGTTGGCTTAGCTTGGCACATTTACCTTGGAGGAGGCTGAAATATTCTCAGCTATTCTAGAGACTTGATTTGCCTAGGTACTTCCAGACTCTATAGGAGGACAAATTAAGTGGTATTGGTAGCAGTTGCCAAGGAGCCTAAACACCTGTGATTGGAAACTGCTAGACTGAAGTAATATGAGATGGCAGTAGTTCCCCAGAAGACACACCTAAGGACCGAAAATGGAGTCTAAGTGAAAGGAGAGGTACAGGAGATTCTAGGCCTGCCCCAGGACAGGCAAAGAGGACCGGCTAGGAAGGTGATGTATGGGCTTTTACAGTGTTTGCTTCCCAAACACAGCTCTAGGGGATCTGAATAAAATCCTTGAAAGAACAGAATAAAATTACATCATCAAGAGATTTTAGTGCACAGATTTTATGAACTACCTTGCACCATCCTGGATGAGTTATGATGTCCAGCTGCAAAGGGTGTGACCAGATATATGGCAGAACGGAAGGTTATCAGAAATGATCCAAATACCATTTTCCTGAGATGGTTGACCAGAAAAACAGACTGCAGCCAGTGCTGAGAGCTGCTAGTGAGAGCCCTATTAGATGCCATCAACTCCAAGACATATGGCTAACAGTGAGCCACAAGAGGAGAGCCCAGCCCAGAATGCTGCATTTCTCAGAGCTTCCTAGGAGATCCTAAGCCCCACACCTCAAGCATGAAAATAACGGAAAATCTTGAATCCCTTCAAGGGAAATTCCAGGCACCTAGCTAGCTCTGAAAAGTAAATGAGTTACTTGATAAGCAAGAAGGTAAGGGTAGCATGAAACAATGGCCAAGGAAGTTAGAATCATGGGAAGTTTAGTTTCCCTACAGAAACTAAAGATAACATCTTAGCATATGTCCCTGAGTTGTTTTTCAGAAACCCACACCCCCAACTAACAGACCTGCTGGCATGTGGACCTAAGATAAGGGCGATAAAAGAAAAACTTCAGCTGAATTAAATTTAAAGGAGTTTAATTGAGCAATGAATGATTCGCGAAATGGGCAGCCCCTAGAATCACAGCAGATTTACAGAGACTCCAGTGCAGCCACGTGGTGGAAGAAGATTTATAGACATAAAAAGGGAACGACCTACAGAAATGAGAAGTGAGGTACAGAACAACTAGATTGGTTATAGCTCAGCCTTTGCCTTATTTGAACACAGTTTGAACACTCAGCAGGGTATGAGTGGTTGAAGTAAGGCCGCTAGGATTGGCCAAGTCTCAGCTATTGTTACAGGCGCACATTACTAAGTTAAGTTTTCAATCTTGTCTGCCTATTAGCTAGGTTGCAGTTGATTCACAAGGACTCAAATATAGAAGTAAGGAGTCCTTCTCCGTACTTATATATAGATGTATGGAGTACTTCTCAGGCCATATTTAGTTCGCGTTAACAAGGGAAAACTAAGGACTGAACTCTGACCACTATTCTTTGTTCTAAATTTCTTCCAGAGGGGCCTGGATGAGGTCACACCCATGAGCCAGAGCTAAGGTTCTTTTCATCTGACCCCAAATTTTTAGACAAAACTTTCCCTCCTTAACCAATTGCAAATAAGAAAATCTTTGAACTCACCTATGACCTGTGGACTCCTACCTTGAGACGTCTTACCCTTTTAGGTCAAACCAATGGATAGTCTGTAGGTACTGATTTATGACTTTGCCTGCAACCTCTGCCTCCCGGCCTTTCAAAACCCTTACCTGTAAGCCATGAGGGAGTTCAGGTCCTAAGTATTAGCTGTCCGATTTTTCTTGCTTGGTGCCCTGCAATAAATGCTTCACTTTCTCTTGCTGCAATCCTGATGTCAGTGTTTGGTTTTCCTGTGCCGGGTGTGTGAACCCAAGTTCAGTTCAGTAACACCTATCATTCCACTGTGTGTCACCCTGTAGGATCAAGTGATTTGACCACTACTATCCACTTGATATCTTTGGGAGGGTAGAGATAGCTTACTGTTTGTCATATTCTTTCTCAGGAGAGAGAATAATAATTATTGTTCAGATTCTGGAACAAACTCCAACCAATTAAGGATAGTTCTAGCATTGAATCGAACCTGGAGGATTGGTCCAGGGGAAAAATGGTGTTACTAACAATTCTAACTAAAGATTTGTTTTAATGTAATTTTAAAATCTTTTTTCTTCAAATCTTGACTCTTTGGATTATCTCTATTAATTGGTAACACCAACTACGACATGAAATAGGATGATTCTGTCTTACTTTCTCAGCCAATTTGGTGTTTGAATCATAGTCTGAACGTTATATAAGAGGTAGGTATATTACAAAAATTGTCTAATTCTATTTGTCTAATTGTCTGTTCAAGTCTAATGAACGATTTATTCAATTAACATTCACAATTGAAAAGAAAAAGAACTACTGTGGAAAAAATGAAAAGAAATCGATGGGGGAAGCTAAATAATAACATCAATACATTTGTTGGTTTTCTTTTTTCATTTTCCTGTTAAATTCAATGCCCTCCAAGACTTTCATACAAAAGAAAGAAAGTGAATATTGAATCAGGGGAATTTTTAAATTATGTAAAATTTCTGCCTATAATAGTCATGTGTGGGGAAAGGTATATTATAAAACTTTTTTAAAAGGTTATTATGATTATTATTCCTGGAAACCATGTGCTATAGAAAAGTTAAATTTGTCATTCTCAGAAGCCAGTTCCACCAGCAGGAGGATTTACATTGTAATTTTTAATTTTTTATTTTTTAGCAAAAGATATTGTGCTAGGACTCTAGCTGCTCTGGACATTTTCCTAGAATTTGAGGTTTGAAGTTGGAAGAGATGGAGGAAGAAGTTTACAATCATGACACTCTGAACCACCAATGGCAAAGCAGAACAAACAGAAATGAATGCTGGGTGCCAGAAGGATTGTTGATTTGTTCTTGCCTGATACTCACAGTCCTGGGGACAGTTAAGGGGATGTTCCTGTAAGGTTCCTGTATTGGTTCGAACCCGAGAGCGCGCCAACAGACAACAGCAGGCAATGTGGAGCAACATGCTGTTTTAATGAGCGCCTGGGTGCAGGCGGGTTAAGGCCTAAAATGGCGTCAGCAGCAAGTGAGGACAGGGCAAAGATTTTATAGTCCCCTGTAAACGTGAAGTGCCCTAGTCATGTAACTGCTACGTTGTACCCGGATGCCCTCTTTCTGGATCTTTAGGGGCACATGTCTTCCGGCCAGCTCTCTTCCTGCTTCTGCTATCTTGCTGGTGCACGCTGCTGAGGCAAGCTGCCTTGCGACTTGCGGCTGGACCTGAGAAGGGAGGAGTTACTCATCCCCTTAAGCTTTCAGGCCCCGGGGCAGAATCTTACAGTTACCAGTCTATAAAAGAGACTTTAGTGAAGTTCCAAGACACTAACTAGTTTGAGAACAGCAAGAAGTTCAGTTCCAGCATAGGACTAATAGGAAGTAGCTAGGTTATAAAGCTTTAGAAGTTCAAGAATAAACACAATGAGAGGCTTCAGTAGCTATGAGGACAAGTTTGGTAGACCTGAAGAAAAACCTTGAAAACCCAAATGACCTTGACTTGACATTTCCATAGCTGCAATGGTGAGCCAGCATAAGCGCCTGAGCATTCCTTATGACACATTAACTAATACTCTCTTCCTTTATTCACATACGAAAAGTCCTTCTTCCTATGTTAGGTGCAGGAGACACTGCCTAACACCCAGTTTTGTTTCTGAAAACCCTTGGGGTAGGATCATTTGTGGTTCAAATACTTCTGGGATCAAAAAAAATGTTATTGCACTGTGGCTGAGAGTGACTCTATGAAAGTCTTTGTAAATGTTTGCACAAACACTAAAATGTTTATACAAATAAAGTAATATTAGAGACTACTGTATATTTCATTTCTTGCTCCTGAGAAATAGTCTAGCTTCTGCCTTCCCAGAACTTTAAAATGCTTATAAATTATTTTGCTTTATTTCATGAAGTTGTATTCTCACAGATATTTTTTTCTACTCTGGTCTCCAAACCAAACATTAACGCCTTCCTAGTTTTAAGATTCAGAAGTGTTGACTGCTGCCTCCAAATCCCAGAAATGCAAAGTAATTTGGATGCTTGAGATTTAACAAAGCTTTGGGTAACCTCTGTTTAACTTTCCTGACGTGCTGAAAGATATTTCTCAAATTCTCTCTCTAAAGAGACTCCCCTAACAGCTCAAGCCCCTTCTGCAAACAGTTCAGCTCCAGGAATATATTAAAA
The DNA here is from genome assembly GCF_000001405.40 of Homo sapiens. Classification (NCBI taxonomy): domain Eukaryota; kingdom Metazoa; phylum Chordata; class Mammalia; order Primates; family Hominidae; genus Homo; species Homo sapiens. Next base: position 72,171,801 of record NC_000013.11, read on the forward strand.
GGCCCAGTTTTTTAGGTTCCTTTAGTTTTCTTTATATGTCCTAAGGCAAAAATCTTTAACCATTTCCTTTGAGGTGGGGCTTACTGTTCTTCTTTTACTCTTCCTAGTACTCACTTCCGTGTCTCTCTGTTATCAATAGAAGAAATTCAAAAGTTTCATATACTGGAGATAAAATTCTCATTGTTGAGTAAATGATTTGCTGGGTTCAATAGAATTTGCTTAAGAGAAACTCAGAGCTTTGAAGAGTTTGCTGTATTAGCAGAGTCACATCTTACTCAGAGACTGAGATCCAAAATCATCACACACAATAAATACTGCCTGTAGTCTAAATTAACTTCAAAATCTCTTAAGTTCTCCAAAAAAGAGAATATTGTACATTTCATGGTGTGTCTGTCATATCTAGCTCTGGAACACTGCTGGACACCCAGTGAGTCAGTTGGCTAACATTTAGGCCCCATGTTGAAACGAAAGCACAGAGAATTGAAATTCTTCAAGATCAATGTCTTTACAATGTGGGAGGTATCCTGATTCTAGAGAATAAGTTAGTGGTGGGTACTCCTGCTTAGAGGTTTAGATTCCTTTGTAGACTACAGCAAGACACAATGGAAACTATGGCAAATCTAAGAACTTTCTTTGGAAGGTTAAATTAAGCTCTAGGCTCAGAAGTTGACCCGAGCAATTCAACCTCAGTGTTCACTGACTCAACATCACTTCAATGACATTCCGATCAAATTTTCCCTATGGTGAAGAAAACTCAGAATAGTATTTCAGTAATATTCACAAAGTTAACTTAAAATCTCCATAATTCAGGTAAAAATAATTTATTAGATATTTTAAGTGGTTTATTTTTCAAATGACAGTTTTTAAAAATCGCTTTCCAGTAAAAAGTAAAAGACTCTTATTGTACTCAACGAGCTATAAATATCTTGTCTTTTTCTTTCTCTAAATTATAATTTCCATTTGTTTAACATCTAATTTAGTTCTATAAATATCCAATACCATTTTGATATTTGCTCAAATGTGCCAAGTACTGACCTCTTTACCAAATTAGGTCTGTGATCAAATCAGGGAAAAAATAATACACTTAAATTCTGAATGCTATTTGTCTAGCAAGGCTAAGCAGTTAATCTTTAAATACACTAAACCTTTCTAGAATCTGTGGCTATTGGTGGACTTGACAATTAAAACACTTAAAACCATTTATTTCAAAAACATCTTTAAAACAAGTTACTTAAAATTAAACCAAACGATTTATTCTACAGTTTCAAATTATAATTTCATTAGTTGCTTATGTAACTATTGATGGTAATCAGATAAGAATGTTTACATTAACAATTTGTTTTCAGAAAACTGTTTAGAAAGTTTATCACAAAAATACTCCTAAAAATACAAAAAGCCTTTTAAAAATTATTAATCTAGGACAAGTTATTGTAAAAGTTTTCGATAACATAAATAGTTGAAAAAACTCATCTCTCAGAAACAACCTCTATTAATATACTGATGTATATCCTTTCATGTTTCTTTCAACACATAAACACACATATACTTATTAACAGACCGTCCCAAAACTGAGCTCAGTTATTTATTATAATTTTCAGTATTTGGTATTTTAATTATATTGATTATAAGGTACATACAGATGTTTCTCTAATGCATATTGAGTTTGTTTTTCCTAAAGGTTTTCTTTTTCTGTTTTTATTTCAATAGAAAAGCAAAAGATATTTGCCAATGAACAATAACCTGGATGCTCAAAGGGTGAGTTGAGTTTAGACACGTGATATGTTTTTATTAACTATTCAATAAATTTTATGTTCAGTTTAGGATCAATTACATTTCAGAGGATCTATAAGTTCAGAGACTCTCCTAGATGTTTGCATGTATAATTTCCTCTAACGTATAACTCTATTATCCCCAGCTTTACACTGTAACACTGAAATTCAGTGTAGTTATCTAATTTTTCTGTAGAATTAACATTTACTAGTAGCAACTCAGAGTGTGTTACAAGGCACATTTCAGCTTTCAAAGTGTTTTTTTTCACTGATTATATATTATTTAACCAGTTTTCTTAAAAACGTATATAAAAACTAATAATAGTGTTATTTTTATTGACTACTGACTACAAACTTTGTGGTAAATATTAGTTTTATTTGCTTTAATTTGCAGATGATAACCCTGAGGTTGAGGGATACCAAGTACCTTGTCCACAATTCAGCAACAATGGGACAGGTGTGATACAAACCTCTTGTTCCATCTTGTTCTCTTTCTGCTTGACCATTGCACCATTGAGAGAAGTGAAACTTGGGCTGAGTCTACAAGGGGCACCCAAAATAACCATGGTGTGTTTATGTTCATTTAAAATCATAAAATTTGTGTAGGAAATAGTTTTCCAGAATGACTACTTATATGGATTAAATAAATCAGATACATTTTATATCTCTCATTCATTTTCTGCTATGAAACATGAATTATATGGCACACTAATAGAAATAAGTCCTTTACAGAATTCCGTACTGATCATTTTTCTGATTTTTCTCACAATTGGCACATAAATCTGGCCTCCAAAACAACATGGAGATCACCTAATCTCCAGGTGTCTGGGATTTCATGGTTTATGTTATTTGTGATTTTATGAAGATGCCAAACAAATCCACCCATATTCTGAAATTATCATATAATTGTTCTACATTATTATATTCATCAGACTAAGAAGGATACATGTTGAGCCCTGATAATCACCTTTGATTTCTTCTTATGAAGGGAAGTGATAGCCCTTTTTGGTATGTCTAAGGGAATTGTTCAATGTAGAGACTGGATTGTCTTCTTGGGCCCCACTGATTCTCCTCCCTCCCAGGTTTGTCTGTTCTGAGATGTCCACTTCTAGCATTACAGCCTAACTTGCAGTCACACAGTCCTTAATCTTCGCCTTTTCATTCTGCTAATGATTGTGCAATATGTTGCTTTCTATGCCTTTCTGTACTCAGCGTTTGCCATCTCTCTATCAGTAGCTGGATTCTTTCTGCTGCACCAGCATGCTCCCAGGCCTAGAGAAAACTGGAGTGGGTGATTCAAAGCCTATTTGCAAGGAAGACTCCCCTTTGCAGTTCAAATCTCAAACTTATCTCCATGCAAGCAACCCTGATACTTTCTGATTTAACATTCTTAAGGCCATAAGAGCTCTAGTAATATAATAGATTACTTCATAATTATCTTTTATTTATTTCCAAGAAATGGAAATAAGTTAATGACAGTTTTTCCTAGTGCCTTACCTTGATTTGTTTTGCTTATGTATTATGGGCACACACAGCAAGCTTCTCTATTATAATACCCAACACCTAATATGTATCTGTCTCCCTAGCGAGGCTGGGCTTCTTGTGGCTCATTCACATTTATGCCCCCAGAAGCAAGCCCGATGCCTGACACACGGAGGTCAGGAAAAGTCTGAAGAACATTTGAGTGAATGAATGAATCAGTGATGTCCCTTTATGCTACTACAAAGTTAATTTCATTAAAATAGTGTCTTTACATTGCTATGAAAGCAAATAAAATTTTAGTTACCCTAGATTTTTAGAATTGATTTCCACACATTCTAGAAATTTTGTTCTTATATTTTTAAACATTCTACAGTAGAATTAATGTAAAACTGTAAATATGAAGCAGAAGAAAAGCCAAATTTATAAAAGAATTCAGCAATATATAGTTAAAAACAGACATGGTTCCCTTCAGCAAGCTTTCCTGTTCAAATCGTTTCAGTAAATAAATATTTAACAAGCAATAAGACTGATGTTTATATTTACATGGCAGTCAATTTATGTTGTATAAAAGCTAAATTCCCGATCCCCAATAATACTTTTTACTCTTTGACATTAGTCTGCAACAAATGGCACAATTGTGCTAAAAAGAAAGAAAAAATCCCATAATAAAAACCATTCACTATGCCAAATATGTCATTACATTTTTTTCCCTTTCAGCTGCCAGATGTATTGCATTATATTATCAAATTGATAGATCTAGTGTTATTTCTACATTTACCATTTTACAACAACAAATAGAAATATAAGGAAGCTTTGGTAACAAATCTCGCTTAATATGTATGTGAAGTAGACAGTTTGTCTAAGAGAAAAATATAACTGATGACAGATTTCATTTCAGTCTGCTAGTGCTTATTAAGATGTCTACAAACAAAAAGCCATATCTGGGTACATCTCTTTCTGCAAACAAAGGAAAGTTTTAATTGCTTTAATCAGCATTTGCATTGTCTTTGTGGTGACATAGAAAAACAATTCAGGTCTAATCAGGAAATGTCTTCCAAGGGAGAATTCTTCAGCTTAGACTTTAAGTGAACCTAATAACATATTTCCTATAATTCTTGAATAAAGCTTAACAATGTAATACTGTGCTGACTTCTATTTAAATTATTCCTAAGCCATTAATAGAAAGCCTGGTGCTGTTTTTTGCTATGTCCTTATTAGGAATATCATTTTCAGATATAAAAATGGTTCCCATAAAATGAAAAAGTAGACTGAGCAATCAACCTCAAGTGTCAGTATTACAATTTTTTTTTATCAACAATATCTTAAACCTAAAGAAGTCTTTGCTTTGAAGGTAGTCTTTTCAATTTAGTTTCCCAAATATGTATTACATCCCTACTAGGTGAAAGATACTGTTATAAACTGAAAAAAAAAATGTTAAAAAGAATAAGAGAACTCTACCGCATTTAAATAAATCTGCAGCCTGAGGTATTTGACTGGGAGCATTTTCAAAACTCCTGGAACTGCAATGTGGTGTGTAAAAAAAAAAAAAGGCCATTTACTAAATACAAATGTTTCTGCAACCTTCAGTAAGGCAAAAGATCCTTCAATTTATGTCCCAGTATCTCATATATATATCACTTGCCACTTGCATTCTGTAAATACTGCAATGACTCCATTCAGGAAAAAAATGTTCTCATTAATGGATGGATAGTGTAAAATGTGGTATGGAATGGAAAGTGGGCTTCAAAATTGGGAAAAGCAAAGTACAAAGCCTTCTTTAGTCTATCTCATTGGAGTTCTCTAAGCTTGAGCAAGTTATTTTTCACATCTCTGGGCCTCAGTTCACTCATTTCTAAAATGAGGATTCATTTGTTTTTGAATCCAAAAAAAATCGTGGAGCCTTTCCTGTGGCCCAGGCACTGTGGTAGCACGTGTGACACACAGGCCTTGTCTTCATGAAGTTTACCACCCAACATGCTAATGTGTATTAATCCAAAAATCACATCGACAAACAGAGTTATTGTAGTGTGTCACAGGCTACACAGGGGAATCTTACAGTTCTTTGGGGGCCTATGTCTTGAGAAAGTGCAGTTGATATTGAAAATGGAATTGAGTTATTCAAGTGTGTATTCCTATAAGAAAGACCTGGGGGGATGGTTTGCAGGAAGACGTTTGAATGCACTGAAATTGACTTTACTTTACATTTCTTTTTCTCTTTCTTGGCTGTAATAAGTTTACTGCCAGAGGATGAAGTCCCAAGTCATGACGATACTCTTCCTCAGAAGACTGTGTTACTTTGGGCAAATTACTTAATCTCTGTGTGCCTTAATTCGCTCAGTTCCTAAATAAGAACTTATGTCATAGACCTATTTGGGTTAAACAAGGTAATATTTATAGAGTTCTTAGAATGGTACCTAGCATATAAGTACTGTTGTTGGTGTTGCTGTCAACTGGTACTCATGGCATGTCCCATGAGACAAACTGTTGCAAAAACAAAAACAGAAATAGAAAACTTTAAACAGCCAAGCCTTAGATTTTAACAAAGAAGATAAAAAGTTAATTCAAGGTACCCTTTGCTGGACATTAGGGAAGACGATGCTTTTTTTTTCAAGGCTCTTTCTTCCTTTTTCTTCCCCACCCTGGGCTGGGGATGCCCTGATTTCCTGTCAATAGGTAGACATGGGGGTAGACTACGATCATGAGGGAAAGCAAACTTGCTTCCAGCAAACTTGATTTTTCTCCTGGAGTCATGCTATAACTTCCTGACTAGAAACTCCACAAGTATTGAGCACAAGGATAATTAAGAAAAGACCGTCACTTTCAAGGAGCCTACACCCTAGTTGGTGAGGAAAACAAGACAAGACAACAAAAGCACACATTTCAACAGAATAGCATTTATAAAATAATCCACATGATTATCTGCTCCGTGAATACAAAAATCAAGGCTTACTTATCTTTATGTCCCCTAGAGCCTGATAATAATGCTCAATAAATGTTTGCTGGATTGAGTTGAATACATTAACAAGCACAAACAAATAAGAGTTTGAGCAAGTAATTGCCCAAAGAATGTCACACCTAGGAGTGATCACGTGGAACTCTGGGGTCCCCATCAGAACCCTGGTAGATGTAGGGGAGCCAGCCCCCAGCTTTCTTTTATGAGTTCCTGATGAGCCAGTCACCTTGGAATCACTGAGGAGCAATAAAATCAAATGGTATATACCAGGTACCCTTAGGCAGTCCAGAGAGTCTACTTAATATTTAAGACATGTAGTAGTGAAATGTTTCTTCCTTCTAATAACATGCCCTAGTTTGAAAGCCTTGTTTTCTGTGAATGATTTTATAAGTAATTTTATTTATAATGAAATCAATGCTAACTATCCACAACTTCATGTCTTCATTTATTCCTACAAAATTAAACATTTTCCTAAATGAAAATATTAGCATGCCAGTCTTTGTGGTTTCTGGGTATGGGATAGAGCTGTAACATGGCACATACCACTTTGGAGCAGAGAGTTCCCTTATCCATCAGAGGGAAGTAAAATTCTGGTGCTGGGCCAGGCACTGTGGCTCACGCCTGTAATCCCAGAACTTTGGGAGGCTGAGGCGGGCAGATCACAAGGTCAAGGTATCAAGACTATCCTGGCCAACATGGTGAAATCCCATCTCTACTAAAAATACAAAAATTAGCTGGGCATGGTGGCGCGTACCTGTAGTCCCAGCTACTTGGAAGGCTGAAGCAGGAGAATCTCTTGAACCCGGGACATGGAGGTTGCAACGAGCCGAGATTGTGCCACTGTACTCCAGCCTGGCGACAGAGCGAGACTCTGTCTCAAAAAAAAAAAAAAAAAAAATGCTGGTGCTGGTGCATTGGACAAGGGCTCTAGGTTAGAAAAGAAAATTCTGTCTTTCTGTCTTTTGGATCCTGCTGTTCCTTACTTGGCCCTTTTTGTCTAAAAAGGATAAAAATAAACATTTTTCAGTTTATCCCATCTGCCAAAAGCAAAGGTGACCACTCCACTCTCCTGTTCTAAGATTAAAAATATTCAATATATTGAGGATATAGGTTTTATGCAAAGGAAACATTAGTGTGTTTCAGACAGGTGTTCTCTCTAGTTATCTTCAGTTGTTCTGCCTCTCTTACAGCCTTGTTTCTCAAAGTGCGGTCCTTGAACCAGCTGCATTAGCATCACATAGGAACCTAATGGAAATACAGAATTTCAGGTCTCATCTCAGACCTAGTGAATCTGAGTCTGCATTTCAGCAAGAACCCAGATGACGTGCATGCACATTACAGTTTGAGAAGCACTGTCCTAGGACATACTTTTGGAGGCTCGATTGGGTAAAAAGCCCCTGGACCCAGCTAGACTGAAGTGTGATTGATTTGTTGGTCATGTGACATCAGATGGCTATCCCTGACCAGAAGTGTTCCAAGGAATCTTTTAGGTGTTTAGTGACAAAAAGTTTATTCCACTCAATGGATTTTTAAAACAATTACTGGATGACTCTCCCTTATAAAAAAGAGAGAGGAAAATGAAGTCCATTATTGATTTGGAGTTATTACAGAATATCACGTGCAAGCAAGGGAAGGCAGAGATGTCTGGCATACTTCTCTGTTGGGTGGGCACCATTGGAGGGGTAAAGGAGTAGAATTTACAGAAACATGGAAAGGCAAGTTTTTACTTTTGTAAATATTTGCCAACTAGGAAGTCAGAGAAGCCTGGAGGAGGCATGTGTGGGATGGATATTTTCATCGGTCTGGAGAATTATGCTGTGTTTGTTTTGTGATGTTTTCAAAATAATCTGCTGTATTATGGTAATGGAATTCTATGTGCATTAAGCTGTTGAGAAGCTTTATATAAAATATTTATATTTTATCAGCTCTTGAACAAAACTTTATTCTCTCCTGTAGGGCTATTGTCTGTTGCACACCTTTTGCCTATTATCAGTCACAAAGTATCAGTACTGAATTATTCTGTCAAGTGTGAATCTAGGAACTTTACACCTGCCAGTTCAAACTGATTTTCAACATTGTGTAAAAATGCCAAAGATTGGCTTGTCAGTCTCTGTTTGTGACAAGAGTCCTGTTCATGTTGCTCAATGGTTTGCAGAGGTTTTCTTTGAAGAATTATTTTTATATGGTTCAGTACATCACAATATCCCAGACAATAATTATCCTACATGCTAGGTAAAAATAGAGCAAATAGATTGAAAGGGCTTCTTTAGTTGGTAATTATATGTGAATGTGTTGGGAAAAAAGTTATCATCTCACTTTTGTCTGATTTATTCAAGCCCCAGTTGTAAATAAATGCAATTTTTGTACCTATGTAAAACTGCAGCATTTGTGACTGGGTAATGTAACTATACTTTAATAATGGAGTGGCTCCTCTTGTTATGGCAACGGAACGGATATAAAGTCATGCTAACAGGTGAATAAAGATCTGTGGCAGAAGTAGTCAAACTTCTTTCCCAAGCTCAGGAAAGCCCTCTTAAAATTAAAATGAAGCTTTTGGAGATTTGTGGTAAATTGCTGCCTCTTTCTTTGGATACATTCTTCCTTCTTATTTTGAACAAGGGTCAACAACACCTGGAGGTAGTAACTAATCTCTCCGGTCGATGACCTCTGCTGGCAGGCCTGAGCCAAAAACCTGGTTTCCTGATAGGTCTGGAACCAGCCTCAAGGTTCATTGTTCATTTCTTGCTCAAGCAATGCCAGAAGCATTAGGCTCCAGTTTCAGGCAATAATAATAGTAGCTAACACGTTGTGAGTGCTTCTTGTGTCCACTGACTCGTGTAATCGGCTCATAACAAACCTATGTGTCATGCACTGTTCTCAGCACTGCACAAACATTAGCTTATTCAATTTTTATAATAAAATTATGTCCATTTTACTGATGAGGAGACACGTACAGAGAGTTAACAAACTTGCCCCAGGTCACACAACAGTAACAACAAAGCCAGGATACAACCCCAGGCAACCTGGCTTCCTAACTGTATTAGGCACTACACAGAGTAATGCTAAAGCTTCAGTTCCTGCCCCGCACCACACATTGTATCTCATTTAATCTTCACAGTAACCAAATGAAATAGGTTGTATTAATAATAATCCTCTCCTATGGTTTGCATAGTGTTCCCTCCGAAACTCATGTTGAAATTTAATTGCCAATGTAATAGCATTGGGAGGTGGGGCCTTTAAGAGATGATTAGGCTACGAGGTCTCTGCCTACATGGGTGGTTTAATGCCAGGCTGAGTTCATTTCTTGGTTCCTCTACTTACTTGCTGTGTAACCTTGAGTAAGTTTTATAAACCTCTCTGGACCTCAGTTTCTCTATATTTAAAATGGAAATCATGTCATTAACTATGTCATAGGGTTGCAGCAAATGTGAAGTAAGTACCTGGTACATCGTAAGCACTGAATGGCAGCAGTAGGATGTCAATATTTTATTATGAAGACCAAAATAGTTTTCACAGCTGTTCTAAAATCGGACTTAACTAAGAAAATAAATTTGAAGTAGAAAATTACCACATGCATGAAATCTTTTTAGTTTATAAGTGCTTTAAACTGCAATAGGAGTAATGATGACCAACAAAATTAATTTGTATATCAGGCTACAGAGGTCACAAAAATTCTTTACATATATCATCACGTTAGAGAGTTATAATAACAGATTGGTATATATGGAATTATTGAGGTTAAGTGCTAGGATTGAAACCACACAGATTGTAAGTGGAAAATGCACTGCGAGTTTCTGAATACCAAACCTAGTGCTTTCCACTTCATTACTCTGGTGGTAAACAAATCTTTTAAAGCTTAACATGTGCAGGATTTGAGCAGTCTTTGAAAGATGTAACTTGTCTCCATAAGTACCCTCAACAATTCTGCTTTGACTCACAGGTTGTGTTCTTTCTTGTGTTTTTGAATAAAAAGCTGTTACTGATGCTTAAGTCATAGGGAGCTTATGATGCTAGATTTCTGGGGGCCATTGTTACAAAGTCACTCAGGGTGGGCCAAAGAGTTGATTGGTTCAGGAAGCCTGGGAGTGAGGCAAGGACTGACTCTGTCAGGACTCACCATAGTTCAGAAAAATATTACAAAGATTATAATCTAATATTGTTCTTTTGCTGGAATATTATTGAACCTCATGTCAAACTGGAGGGTTACAATACAACTTCAGGGTTATTGACAAGAAAAGTCCAAGAAACTGTACAGTTAAGAGGAAGCTAAGTAGATACAGTGACTAAATGTCAGGTGGTATTCTGCATGGAATCCTGGAACAGAAAAAAAGGAGATTAGGAAAAAACTAGTGAAATTCTAATAAAAAGTCAGGTTTAGTTAATAGTAACACAACAATGTTGGCTCGTTAGTTTTGACAAGTGCACTATGGTCATGAAAGATGTTAACATTAGGAGAAATTGGGTGAGGGGTATACGGGAATGCTCTGTACTATTTTTGCAACTGTTCTGTAAATATAAAAGTATTTTAAAGTAATAATGTTATTAAAACCAAAATAAAGAGGAGCTCAATGGCACATGCCTGAAGTCCCAGGTACTCGAGAGACTGAGGCAGAGGATCGCTTTATGTGATTTTTCATGTCTTGATATCTCTTAAATCTAGAGGGCTACAAAAAGATAACAAATTTAAAGAAATAAACATTTGGCACAAATAAACTATTGTTTTCAAGATGTAGGGCAAGGATGCAGTATTCTAACCATTTCTTTCAAAAGTGGACTGTGAAGCTTAGGAAACTGACTCAGGAATAATTCGTCTTCTTTGAGAGTCTGTGTGGCTGACCCAGGTGCCTCGAATCTATTCCAGGATGGCTGCATTCTGAAGAATTTTCCAGCATGGAGCCAGCCCAGTGTGCATGTTTTGATGGAATTATGTACAATCCTGGTGGTAACAATTGAATAGCCTCTTGAATGACACAGAATGAACCTCACTGCAAGGAGCAAATGTTATCCAATTGATGCAGTAATGTGACAAATAAGCTTCTTTCCAACTTAGGTAACAATTGCCACATGTTATTCTTCATCTTTGATTTTCCCAGGGTACATGTACAGGGTGTGCAGGCTTGTTACATAGGTAAACATGTGCCATGGTGCTTTGCTACACAGATCAACCCATCACCCAGGTATTAAGCTCAGCATCCATTAACTATTCTTCCTGATGCTCTCCCTACCTCCATCACCCGCCACGGGCCCCAGTGTGTGTTGTTACCACCAGGTGTCCATGTGTTCTCATTGTTCAGCTCCCACTTATAAGTGAGAATATGTGACATTTGGTTTCCTGTTCCTGCCATAGTTTGCTGAGGATAACAGCTTCCAGCTCCATCTATGTCCCAGCAAAGCACATGATCTTGTTCCCTTTTATGGCTGCATTGTACTCCATAGTGTATATGTACCACGGTTTCTATATCCAGCCTATCATTGATGGGCATTTGGTTGACTCCATGTCTTGTCTATTGTGAATAGTGCTGCAGTGTATGTATGCATGCATGTATCTTTATAATAGCATGATTTATATTCCTTTGGGTATATATCCAGTAATAGGATTGCTGGGTCAAATGATGTTTCTGTTTCTGCATCTTTGAGGAATCGCCACACTGTCTTCCACAATGGTTGAACTAATTTACGCTCTATAGCCTTGCCAGCATCTGTTGTTTCTTGATGTTTTAATAATCGCCATTCTGACTGGCATGGGATGGTATCTCACTGTGGTTTTACTTGCATTTCTCTAATGATAAGTGATAATGACCTTTTTTTCATGTTTTTTGGCCACATGAATGTCTTCTTTTGAGAAGTGTCTGTTCATGTCCTTTGCCCACTTTTTAATGGGGTTGTTTTCTTCTTGTAAATTTGTTTAAGTTCCTTGTAGACTCTGGATATTAGACCTTTGTCAGATGGATAGATTGCAAAAATTTTCTCCCATTCTGTAAGTTGTCTGTTCACTCAAAAGAGAGTTTCTTTTGCTGTACAGAAGCTCTTTAGTTTAATTAGATCCCATTCATCAGTTTTTGCTTTTGTTGCTATGGCTTTTGGCATTTTCATCATGAAATCTTTGTCCGTGCGTATTGCTATGTTCCCACATTGTATTCTACCTTTTCCTTTTCATAGTGTCTCAATGTTGCCTCTCAATACTAATTCAAAAAGAACAATGGCAAAATGAGCTTTAGATATGTGTTAATCTGCTTGCACCTGTTAAAGAAAATGCACAACTATGAATTGCATCTTGTGGCATGATTCATTAGCTTATTTAAGTAGGAAGAAATTCAGTGTGTAACTTGTGATACCCATTTGGGGTAAAGCTAAAGTCATCATGATGATTTCTTTCTCTATCACATCAATTCCTTGAGGACTTCAATCCCCTCAGCCTCTTCCCAAATACTTCTGAGTCCTCAGGGAATGTTTTATGTGATTTTTACTTCCCACTATTAGATAGCAGTGGTCGTTTTCCTCTTCTGCTTCTTTCTAGTGGGTGACATCTCCTTTCTCAGCTGATGCTTTCTCAAAGCACCCCTATGTTGCTCATGCTGGTAGCAAGACTATCCGTCACATCTGGATCAAGATGGCCTTAGATGTTGCTGGGTACTTTCACTTTTAATTTCTCAGAGAGATTTTACTCAAACTCTTCCTTAGGTGTTTACTTGCTCTTAGATTATAGATGCAGCTTCCCAGTCCTTCATGAAGTGTACAGTGCTGTAATCAGACTCTCTCCTTTCCTAACACCTGATTCCACTGCCTCATTTCTTCCTTTAGTCTAACTCCCATCTTTGGCTTCCCTGGGCCACACTGGAAAAAAATGAATTGTCTTGGGCCACACATAAAATACACTAACACTAACAATAGCTGATGAGCTACAAAAATGCAAAAAAATCTCGTAATGTTTTATGAAAGTTTATGAATTTGTTTTGGGCCACATTCAAAGCTGTCCTGGGTCCCTTGCAGCCTGCAATCCGTGGGTTGGATAAGCTTGGTCTAAGTATTTTCCAAGTATGCCCCTCATTTACATGGACTCTGTTTAAGCATTTATTTACTTATCTGCAAATGAGGATAATAACCTTATTCCCAAAAGGTGGGAGAATGGTAGGAGATGAGGGATGAGAAATTACCACTGGGCCCCATGTACGCTATTTGGGTGATGAGTACACTAAGGACCCAGAATTTACCACTATACAATATATAATATATCCATGTAACAGAACTGCACCTGTATCACCAAATCTATAAACATAATTTTAAAAAACCCCATTCTCAAAAGGATTTTGAAAGAATTAAATGATGTAATGTATATGTCACCTGACCCTATTCCTTGTTGAAACAAATGAGATAATATTAAGTTCACTAATATTTCAGATATGCCAGATTGGCTTGAATCTTAAGGTGAACACCATTTATGTCCCAGATTTCTGTCTTACTATCTAAAGAGGCCAACTTTCCATAACACTGGTAATGCAACAGTCATAATGAAAATGCATTTCCTTATTATATAAGGGCTGCTTATGAAATCCCAGTACATTTCTCACAGCCAGTTTAAACATTTTATTGCCTTTATTTTTCATCAAGTATGCAAATTCTTTTTAGCAGGTTTCATTTTTGATTTAAAACCATTTTTCATGAAAAACTAAATCATTTACGGCCATATGGTCTCATGACAATCCATAGTTAAGAAAAAGCTCAGTAAATTTTATACAGGAATGCCTCTTTGATGTTCTTTCATGTGAAAGAAACACACTTTCTAGGTATAGAGTGAGATGCTTTAAGAAAGAACTCTTAAATGTCAATAAACATGCAGTGTGGGTTCTTGCCAAGATAAAAGATATATGTCAGTATCATGCCCTTCCTTTTACAGAAAAAGAAGATATGATTTGGTTCCTGGCAGTAGGAGTCAAAACAATTCCCATATGTTATTTTCTATATGGAAGTGGAAAAAAAAGGAAAAAAGACATGTTAGGGAAGATGCATGATGATGTGAGAATTGATAGCACTAAACATGTGTCTGTTGGTATTCTGTACTGACATGTTCCACATGGTTTCTCTCCTGGATGCAAGGAGTTCAGGCAAAATTGTAGGAACTGCCAATAATAAAAACAGTTGTCATTTAGTGAGAATCTACTATGTACTAGGCATTTGTAATATGAGATGTGTATTCGTTAACTCATTTAAGCCTTACAGTGATATCCAAAAAACATGTTAACATTCCTTTGTACGGAAAAGGAAACCAAGGGTCAGGAAGGAAAAGCAACCTTCCCAAGGGCTGATAGTTCATAAATGACAACGCTAGGATCTGAGCTCAGGTGTGACTGATTTCAAAGACCATTCAAACCTGGGATTTGAGCTCAGGTGTGCCTGACTTCCCACAATTCCATGATGCCTTTCAGTAAATAAATAAATGATAACCCGAGCTGTTAGAAATTTTTCATTCTGGTTAACTCCCACCTGGAACACACAACCAATCATAAGGCTAGTGCCAAGCAGTGAGGAAGCGATGTGGGGTGGTCATAAGGAACGACTGTATGGGGAGCCACCAAGGCTGGGTTCGAATCCCAGGACCACTGTTGGTTAACTAACTGTGTGACTTTGAGAAATGTCACACAGTTAAAATAAGTGTTTAATCTGCCTAAACACTTACTTTCTTCTCTGAAAATGAGGATAATAACCCTATTCTTAAAAGTCTTTTTAAATAATTGGATGATGTAATGCATATGTCTCCTGATCCTGATCCTATTCCTTGCTGAAATAAAAGAGATAATATGATACATTTATGGCCACTGGAGCCCAACTACCTGGCCTGGTCTCCCCTCACTTTCCTCTCAGCTTATTTCTGAGGGCCAACGCCATGTCGGTCTCATGTCATGTTCTTGCCATGGAGCCATGTCATCACTTCCTCTTCCTTCTCTCCCTGAGAGGACTCTACTCCCAGACCCGGCCCTCCTCAGCTAAAGGCTTCCCTGATTTTTCAAGCTACGCTATGGTTTGTGATAGAGTTGGGAAGTAAATTGTTTTCTTCTCAGTTTGGGCCCATACTTTGTTATGTGTGCCTCTGAAACAGGCTTTTTTTTGTTCCTTACCAAGAACAAAACTTCCCCCATAAACATTGCTTCTTCACTTATTGGTTCTAAACCATCTCTTCTCTGACCCACAAAACCTGTTTCTCCAGCTAGCAGAGGACAGATGCCAAGCCTTCCTCACACATTGTCCATTTCCTCCTTCTCGCTTCCTGTCTTCCTACTAACTCTGTCCTTCTGTCTTCAGCCAAAATATAAAAGTCCACGTGTCCTTGTACACTTAGTTACTTAAAGAGATACGTAGGAGGGTCACAAGCTCATGCATTTTGTCAAAGTCTATACTCTCACTCCCAGTTTGTCTCAACTCAGTCTGATGAGAAAATTTCATAGCACAGTGTCTGTTATATGGCAACTATTCAGTAAGTGCTATCTGCCTTCTGTAATCATAGTATTACGTGATATTTAAAATAATACAATCTTGGACCTCAAGGGGTAGCAGTTGAAGACAGTGTCTAGAACATAAGACAAAAAAATAAGTGCTATAAATGCCTTGTTGTTAAATATGCAAATATCATGATATAGCAATAGGCCAAATGTTTACAGAAAGCAAAGATTCGACAATAAAATTCCACATTAATAGACAAAGTTTTCCTCCACCTTTTTATTTGGGAAATATATTTAGGGGGCAGTTGAGATTCCAAGGTCTGATTTAATGAAGGTATTAGAAGTTTTATCCATCCCTGGAAAAGGTCTAAGGACTAGTAAAGCCTAACAAAAATTCTGAAATGAAGTATAGTCAATCAAAAAATGGGAACAGACAGAAAAACCTGAGGAATAGAAAAGCTGGGTTACCTCTGCTTGAAATTTACACCGAAGACAGCCTAGAAGCAGAGTGTTCTGGCCTGGGGGCCTCACAGAAGTTATGGAAGACATATAAGGGGGAGAAATTGTCATCAAGATGAGGGTAAAAAGCAATCTGATTGGAAAGCAGCATTATATCCTAAATTGAGAGTAAGGATATATGAGAAGTAGAGAATCTTATTACTAAATGAAAATATTTTAGAAATGCATTTTCTCAAAATGCCAGTGTAATGTCACCATCCATCTTTGTACATCTAAAGTCTCTCATTACTCTCTAAATCCCTGCTATGGCCTTTAAGACCCTGCATGGTCTGGCACCTACCTAACTCTATGGCCTAGAAACAACATTTCTTCTTGCTTCCTGGAAAATGTCATCTCCTTAAGTCAGAGCCTTTATTTGTGCTGCTTCTTTACACCAAAACATCGCTCCTGGTCTTGACAGTATTGTTAACTTGCTGGGCAACCTTGGGCAAGCCACCTCCAGTCTCTGAGCCACAGTGTCTTCATCATTATTAGAGAGAATCGGGTGAGGGCATCTCTAACTTCCTCTCCTGATCAAACATTTTTGAGTCTATGAATATTCAGGAGAATGTTATTAGCATAATACCAGGCTCAGGGAGAAGGGACGGTAATTGACATTTATTAAGAGGCTAGTGTAACACTTCGTTTTGACCTAGTAAGAAAAAAGCATGCTTTGTTTATGGAATTTCCCCGATCGTAGATATTGTAAGGGAGGAAAAGTAAGCATCATAAGAGGTAAAAGTAGATCTAAAAATGTTACCTTTAAAATATTCCTTATTAAAAATATATGTCAGTAAAGAAATCATTTCTAATATAACTGCAAACACTACAGTCATTACCCTTGCCTGTAGTTTGACAAATTGACCCTTTTCTTAAATATTTCTATAACCCTACGTGTTTACTCTGCATGCCTTCTGAAGATCACACCAAACTTCTCAAATTCTTTGGTCCTCCTGTTCCACTGAGTAAAAGATCCTAATTATTTTCAGCTGATTTTCACATATCTGTCTTAAGTCTGTATTTTATTATTTTTCTCCCATTCAGAGATTCCCCGACTTCCTCAATAATGTCAGTTCTCAGAAATGTGGCTTGTGGATGTGAGAAAGGACAGACTCTTGGAAAGAAGGAAGAGAAAAGAAAGCTTACAGAGTCAGCCACCAGGGAAAGCCATCCCCAGAAAGGGGCCAGTCATCACAACTCTAGGTTCATAGAGGTTATGGAAGCGTAGTGAAATATGAGGCAGTTAAGATTGAGGGACTTAGCCCAACACAGTGGCTCATAACTGTAATCCCAGCACTTTGGGAGGCCAAGGTGGGTGGATAGCTTGAACACAGGAGTTCGAGACCAGCCTGGCCAACATGCTAAAACCCCAAATCTACAAAAACAATCCAAAAATTAGCTGGGTTTGGAGGCATGTACCTACAGTCCCTGCTACTCCAGGGGCTGAGGTGGGAGGATCGCTTGAGCCCAGGAGGTTGAGGCTGAAGTTAGCCATCATCACGCCACTGCACTCCAGCCTGGGCAACACAGTGAGACCCTATCTCAAAAAAAAAAAAAAAAAAGATTGAGGGGCTCACTGATCTGGGAGGAACAGACCATGGTTAATTCACTCAGATTTGTAGGCAGATGAGACGCCCTGTTCAAAATCAGGAGCAGAATGGGTGGTGGAAAACCAGGGCTTCCCCTCGAATTGGGGAAAGAGACACCAGAAATGGAGTGGAGGAAAAAAATGTAGGAACATAGCTAAATGGAGCAAAAACAGGAAACTGAGACTGAAACAGAAGATATGGACCCTCTCTCAAAACAAACTGAAGTCACAAGTTCTTCTGTATTTCCTGTCCCCACAGAGATTTTTGTCAGTCTTCCCTTTCCAGCTTTTATACATATTGCAACAAATGTAAACTAAAGATACAAACTGTTAATATAAAATAAATTATTTCATTCCTTTATTTTTGCCAAATATTTTCCTTAAAAATAATGAGTAGTATACATTAACATATGGGATCATTTAATGTAGCCATAATATACAAATGATAATAGCTCTATTAAAATTGTTTAAACTCAGCATTAATTCTGACTTTGAAGTCAGAAGTATTGAGTGCAAATCGAGGGACCCTAAAAACAATATGGGGATCTTCAATGACATATGCAAACATGAATTCATGTATAAGGGTGTTGGGGAAATCAGGCTCTCACTATGGTGACAAGAATCATAAAACCTGTCCATCCTCTCGTAGTATTTAATCTAGGGCAGCTTTTTTTTTCTGACTTGATAATCCTGGCTTATTCGGTGTAGGATAAAAGAAATAACAATAAATAGGAACACACTGTATTCCTATTGAAAAAAGGATTCTAGTGAGGTTGATGCATTTTAAAATCCTAGGTTCTGGACACCTACAATAGGGTCCTGGTTCACCACACAAAAGTGAATTTGGCAATTGACTCATGTTGGCAAATCAATTAGAATGAGGTGTTGCTCAAAATCACTTCTGACTGTTGTTTCTTTTGTGACTGAGGTGTCTAAAATGTATCTGTGCTTTAATGGCATAGAATTTGGGGGTATTAGTTCATTGCAAGTATCTACTTCAGAATAAAGAGGTTCTTTGAGAAAAATTATGAGCCCTTTCCAGACATACACTGCTATACCACCTACAGTGAACTTCCCATTTCCTGAGCAAGGATACCTGTGAAATTCTTAAATTTTCAAAGCATTATCTAATTTGCTACTTGTACAGTTGGTACGTAAGGGACGTGCACCTTTATTTAATCAATAGCTCAGAAGATGGGCACTTCAGGCCCTGATGAGCAAATTCAGCTTTAATTTGACTGTGACAAACCATTTACCAAAAGCTCAGTGGAAGTGCTGATTTTTGAGAGGAAAGCAGTGTCCAGAAAGTGGCTAGGGAGGGTGGAAGCATAGTAAAGCATTGGAGAATCACTGTGAGTGCTTTTGCAAATTCTACATTGATTGCTAGAAATTGGATATTCAGGATGACTCCATTCCTCTCAACCTCACCCCTTGTCATTCTATCACCCCAGATGACACTAGCCCTAACTCCCAGGTTGCGAATCCTATCTTCAATACTTATATTACTGATAGAAGAAAATCCTATTCTTCAGGTTTACTGAGGCCATTAAAGGCTAAAAACATTGGAAATATTGCAGTCTCCATTGACACTTTTAATAGTCTAAATAAAAATGAAACTGTTCAGAATAACAGAATTTATACGTATGCAGAAGGTAAAACAGCATCTTTCCAGGTTTCTCTACTCTATTCACCTCTTTCTCCCATGCTTTGCCTAATTTACCACTGGGTGGGACAGAAAAGATTTGAGGACCATCGATCTAAAGGATGTTAAGTTTCTATTCCTCCAAAGTTCTCTAAATGCTATTACTGACCTAGGTGAGGGCATCTGAAAGTAATATACCTGGATTATATTATCTTATTTTCTGGAAAAATGCCTTCACTGAATTATGATTTAATTTTATGCCCTCAGCTTTTACAAAAGGTCATTTCTGAAGAATAGTCATTCATCTGTTTGGAGAGCCATTCTACATCTTTTGGAAAAGCTAGTGGAAGAGTTTGAACATCATATAACCCAAAGTCTCTTATTGGAGCATTCATGTGACAAATCTTTCCTATAGCTTAGTGACAGGGAAATATTATTTTTTCTTTCTAGTTAAGTTTGTATTCTGCTTTTGGGGGAATATTTAAAACTACATAATTCAAAGTGTTTTCCCTTTTACTTGGTTGTTTAAAAGTGTGAAATTAGTTTAGTTCTTTGTTGTTATAACTAGTTCACCATCTTTTTCCCAAAGGAAAAGTGTTTCTCTGATCTCAGGATAAAACATAATTCTGCCTGCCCTAAACAATGGTGTGGTTTTTCATCTAAAAGACACTGAATCTTACCCATAATGGTTTCCTCTTCACATTACCTACAAGAAAGCTTGAAGCAATTTTGTGCTTCATCTCCAGTAAGTGTGTAAGTCTATTGGGGTGCATTTTGTTGCTAATCTCTGTTAGATCTACCTTACTGCCTCATTCTTTGCCATTAAATTGTCCGTATTTTAGGGCTAATGTAGTTTATCTGACTATATTGTTAATGACTACATATGCCAGTTTTAACATCTCCCCATCTTTTATTCTGGTTAAAGATTAATAAATAAATGAATAAATAAATAATTTTGAATGACTATTCAAGATTTTTGTTACATTTCTTCTTCTTACAATTATTCCTGAAATTGCCATTTTTTCTTTCTTTTATTATTTCAAAATATATGATTTCTTTCTATAGGCATGGTATAATGATAATTTAAAATATTGAAGTAAAAATAGTAATATCAATGATGATGGGACTAAAACTATAAAGGAGTAAGTAAGGCAAAGATTTTGGTTTGGTAGGTAGGCTAAGATAAAATGATTAAAGCATCGGGTTCAAGCTAGAGAGAAACTGTGGGAAAAAAAAGGAGACCACACAAAGCATGACTAGTTTTTATTGATGAGACATTCTTTCAATTCTCCCTTCCTCCTGATTTTTCTCTTTGTCTTGTTTTCCTCAGATAAAATTCCTTTGTTGAAATCTCCACATTTTCTATTCCATTTCCTCTTTCTTTAACACTCTACTCAGTATTAAAACTACTCTCAAATATGGACATACTCATGTCTAAATCACAAACATGTAGATAATGCAAATAAAACTCCATGGAAGCTACACATATAAATTCTGATTCCTCATTGAAATACATGCCTTGATGCAACAGTGATGATAGAACACCTAGCCAAGCCAAACTCATTTTACTCTTAAGATGGTAGTCTCAAAATCACACATGGGGAGGTGAGTATAGGCATAAAGCTCACAGAACCCGAATATAACAAGGATGTATTTTAGTGTGGACCTGAGCAAATTAAAAAGAAATGTTAATGAGAACCTATGAAGATGGTGGAGGGGGAGAGAAAGATGCAGCTATTAGGATTTGTGAGTATAACCAATGAGATGATTTGATAGGGCTAAATATTTCATAGACTGTGTTGATAATTTATAGCTTCCTTGAGAAACATTATATTGGCCTTTCCTTCTGTATTTGGGAGGTGTCTGTGTGTGTGTGTGTGTATCAGTGGCTCTCAATGTGAGAAGGAGGGAATGATGACTTTTTTGCCCCAGAGGATATTTGGCAATGTCTGGAGACTTTTTTTGTTGATACAACTTGGAGTAGGTGTCCTACTGGCATCTAGTTGTGGAGGCCAGGGATCCTGCTAAAATCCTGTAATGCACAGGCAGCCTCCATAGCAAAGAATTGTCTGGCCTCCAGTGCCAATAGTGCTAAGGCTGAGAAACCCTGCTGTACATGAGCCCTGTATTCCTATTTCTGCACTCATTTAATACTTTATTGTGCAGCTCACTCTGTACACAACACCTGGTGCAATGAAAAGCACATATTTGTATAAAATATATTCTGACCCATTCAAAAAGCTCACCGTGGAATATGGCATATTATACAAAACAGTTATAATTTGAAGTTGAAAATGTTAAGTACAATTAGGGTGATTTGTTAAAAGCACTATATGGATACAGATAGGAGGAGAGATCATTCATTCTCACTTGGCAGAGATAAGGGAAATCTTCAGTCACGGAGTGAGTGACATTTGAATAAGATTTTAAAGGTGCTAGAGCTATGGCCACATCATATAAGTATGTGACTACACAAAAATATATACACTTTCAAACACATAAACATGCTTAAAATACCGAGTTTCTTTCATTCGCATCACATTGGGAAGATAATACCTCTGCACGGAATTTCTTTCCCTGTTATTTTTGTTGTTTAAGAGAAAATATGCATGGAGATGTCCTATATTATCTGTTACACTGTCACGGAATTTGCTACTACTCATTGGCCCAAGAGACTTTTACTGACGATCTTGAACTACATTCAGAAGCATTTGAAATCCACCTGACCAAAATGTGATTTTGCACTTCCTTGTTAAACCAGATCAGCCACAGAATGCATCCCTACTTTTAAATCAGCCGCAGCAGTTCCATTGAGACAACAAAGTCTACACACATGTGGCCTGGTTTATGCACCATTTTCCTGCAAATTCGATCTTCATGAGATACCAAGAGTGTATTTTAACTTTTATTTGGGGAAACTGAATAACCTGAATGTTTACCTGCAATGGCATGCTTAAGAAAATATGATCAAGAAATTTTGGGATCCTTACTAGATAAAAATAGAATCTGTGTACTTTGAAATTAGCAAGATTCAAATGGAATAACGAGCCATAGGGCTTCCACACTGAGATTCATCCACGCGACTACAGTAAATTAAAATACTTGGGGAAGTGAATCAAGAAGCCTTTATTTTGTTGGAGACTTTTAATCATTCTAGGATACAAGCCATCTTTCTAAAAATATGTATTTGAATAATCTCAGAAGCTATCGAAAGCATAATAAAGAACATTTTTTCACTGATGCTGAAGTACTAAATATCTCCTCAAATCATAGCATTTATCCATTTTATAAATATGGACAGACACTATGAGCTATAACTCAAATATACATTGGTTAAAAAAAGAAAAGGTTAAACTGTACATACTTAATAATGTCTTATAAGATTGCATGTGTTCCTTGTTTTATGAACCACATTGTTCAATATCATACAAGCTGCACTTTAATCCCAATAAAAATTTTTTTAAGTGGAAATGACATTAGGACTTTAAGTGAAACAGCAGACCTGGCTCCCCCACGCTGCCACGTCAGCTGTTTCTAACTTGCCGATACAGATCTGCACTGCCTGTCGCAACTTAGGTCAGAACCAATGTTTGGTTTGCTACCTCAGAGAAGTAATAACCCTTAGAACTGCCTGGCTAGATAAATATCTGATTAACGAAAAGTCTAAATGAATCTGAAGATGGTTTGTCCACCCACACATGTAAAACTGTTTATGACTCCAGCCTTCCTGCAAGGTTTGAGGAAGACGGGAAAATTAATGTAGGCCATGGAGAAAGGCAGAAGGCCCCAGCAAACCGAGTTTCAAACTGTCGAACTTTTCAGCTGTGTGTTTTTTATATGTTAAATATGGTTCAGAAGATTAAAGTCTTCATTTTAGGCAAAGAAAGGAAATAATGTTTCCTGTCCCATTTGCCAAGCTAAGTGAACAACTGTTCCTGCACAATTAGAATTGTTAATTGATTTGAAAACATAGGGCTTTGAAGGTGGAAAACTGCTGACATTATTTCAATGGGGAAATGCACTCCTGAGAGAGAGTACTGCAGTACAATTTCTCTCCTTGTTTTGTTGAATATACATCTATAAAAACACTGTGAATCATGCAGTAAAAACTGCTGTGCTGATATCATAAATCTCTGATAATAAAAATTTCATTGTTGAAACAATAAAATAGACTTTTATTATAACACAGAGTATCCACCTAAACATTGTCCTTTTAGCTTCTTCGAGTTAAATGTATGCACAGTTTTACAGTCTATAAACAGATCTGGAATAAAAGTTAATAAATGTCAAAATTTGCATTTCAAAAAATTCTTGCTGCATTTTAGGGAAGATCAATCTATGAACCTTTCAACATTATGTCAAATGAAATGCTAATTGTACCTTTAGGAATTTCAGAGACAGTGACAAGAAACTAAATGCTCTGTTCCTTTGCATCAGCAAGTCGAGGATAATTGTATATCTACTCTTGTGAACTTCGAAGAAAAAAAAACTGAGAAAAAGGGTTTTCTATTCTTTAACTCAGGAGGGTAAACTCCTTCAGCCACCCTCCATCAATCTACCTTCAAATAAAGTGTGTTAACATGTTGACAGTGGACAAATCACACAGTGCTGCATTTATTCATTTTATAATAGGTTTGTCAAATGAGCTTCAGTTAAAGAGATTTAAGAGTAAGAAAAATTTTCAGCCAGAAATAACCGACTTATTCCATTCAAATTGATGTAAGGTTTAAAGGTGTACTTCTTAAAAGCCTAATCTTTATTAAAATGCACAATTTTTGAAGGGTAAGTCACAAAAATAAATACCAGGAGCCCCAAAAG